>NC_000006.12:7029696-7181212 GCF_000001405.40 Homo sapiens
TACATGGAAACCGAACAACCTGCTCCTGAATGACTGCTTGGTAAATAACAAAATGAAAGCAGCAATAAAGATGTTCTTTGAAACCAGTGAGAAGAAAGACACAACGTACCAGAATCTCTGGGACACATTTAAAGCAGTGTGTAGAGGGAAATTTATAGCACTAAGTGCCCACAAGAGAAAGCAGGAAAGATCTAAAATCAACACCCTAACATCACAATTAAAAGAACTAGAGAAGCAAGAGCAAACAAATTCAAAAGCCAGCAGAAGGCAAGAAATAACTAAGATCAGAGTAGAACTGAAGGAGACAGAGACACAAAAAAACCCTTCAAAAAATCAATGAATCCAGGAGCTGGTTTTTTGAAAAGATCAACAAAATTGATAGACTGCTAGCAAGACAAATAAGAAGAAAAAAACAGCATGGTACTGGTACCAAGACAGATATATAGACCAATGGAACGGAACAGAGGCCTCAGAAATAAAACCACACATCTACAACGATCTGATCTTTGACAAACCTGACAAAAACAAGAAATGGGGAAAGGATTCCCTATTTAATAAACGGTGCTGGGAAAACTGGCTAGACATATGTAGAAAGCTAAAACTGGATCCCTTCCTTACACGTTATACAAAAATTAATTCAAGATGGATTAAAGACTTAAATGTTAGACCTAAAACCATAAAAACCCTAGAAGAAAACCTAGGCAATACCATTCAGGACATAGGCATGAGCAAGGACTTCATGACTAAAACACCAAAAGCAATGGCAACAAAAGCCAAAATAGACAAATGAGATCTAATTAAACTAAAGAGCTTCTGCACAGCAAAAGAAACTACCATCAGAGTGAACAGGCAACCTACAGAATGGGAGAAAGTTTTTGCAATCTACCCATTTGACAAAGGGCTAATATCCAGAAACTACAAAGAACTTACACAAATTTACAAGAAAAAATCAAACAACCCCATCAAAAAGTGGCAAAGAATATGAACAGATACTTCTCAAAAGAAGACATCTATGCAGCCAACAGACACATGAAAAAATGCTCATCATCACTGGCCATCAGAGAAATGCAAATCAAAACCACAATGAGATACCATCTCACACCAGTTAGAATGGCGATCATTAAAAAGTCAGGAAACAACAGATACTGGAGAGGATGTGGAGAAATAGGAACACTTTTACACTGTTGGGAGTGTAAACTAGTTGAACCATTGTGGAAGACAGTGTGGTGATTCCTCAAGGATCTAAAACTAGAAATACCATTTGACCCAGCAATCCCATTACTGGGTGTACACCCAAAGGATTATAAATCATGCTACTATAAAGACACATGCACACGTATGTTTATTGCAGCACTATTCACAATAGCAAAAACTTGGAACTAACCCAAATGTCCATCAATGATAGACTGGATTAAGAAAATGTGGCACATATATACCATGGAATACTATACAGCCATAAAAAAGGATGAGTTCATGTCCTTTGCAGGGACATAGATGAAGCTAGAAACCATCATTCTGAGCAAACTATCACAAGGACTTAAAACCAAACACCGCATGTTCTCACTCATAGGTGGGAATTGAACAATGAGACACTTGGACAAAAGGCAGGGAACATCACACGTGGGGGCCTGTTGTGGGGTGGAGGGGAAGGGGAGGGTTAGCATTCGGAGAAATACCTAATGTAAATGACGAGTTAATGGGTGCAGCAAACCAACATGGCACATGTATACCTATGTAACAAATCTGCAAGTCGTGCACATGTACCCTAGAACTTAAAGTATAATAATTAAAAAAATAAATAAACTGGAAAAAAAATTTTTTTAAGGCAAAAAAAGTAAAATAATCTCTCAGCGTCTTCAAAAATATACATTTGCTTCATGAAGCAACAAATGAATTCCCTTCTCAGTCCTCCAGATCCCCCTTCTTGTGGGAACTTGGCCTTTCTGTTCTCGTCAGACACCCCCTCATGGATGTGTACCTGTCTCTGGGTTCTCCGGGTACTCAGTGTCCTGTACTGGATTGTTTGCTCACAGACCAAAGTGTCCCTCCTACTCTGAGCTCTTCCCCAACGCCATCAGCCCAGTGCTCACCCTAGAGAAGAGCTCAATAAACGCATAATGAGAAAATGAATGGACAACCAATCGGCCTCTTTCCATTATCTCCACTATTTCCAGTGGATGTCCTTTTTGGGGATGGTCCTGGGTCTTTAAGGCTCACTGCAGCAAGCAGACTCTTCCTGCATGGAGGGTGGAACAGGCTCTGGGGGCACAGATCCACTACAGTGGCTGGGAGGGAGGGAGTCCTTCCTGGGAGGAAGAGGATGGCAACGGCGAGTGTGGCAACAGGCGATGGGAAGTATAGTCAGCACTGGGGAGGCCCAGTGCAAGGAATATGGTGTCTCACCAGGCATGAAGAGCCACATAATGAGGGGTCCCAATGGAAGCCTCTGTTCTGAGCGAGACATCAGAGAGGGACCCCACAGGGCCCATCCCAGGGCCCTGCACAGTGCCCAGCTGGTCCACAGGCCAGAAATGGAAACTTGACACTGAATTCTGCGCCCTCCAAACTGATGTTTTCTGAGCAGTTTCCCCTCTGCCCCTTGGCTTGCATGCCCGTCCTCCTCAGCTGCAGGGTCTAAACAATGAAGAACCCGGCAGCAACAGGGGCAGGAAGTGAAAGGGAAAATGATTGAGTGCAGGGCAGGAAAATCAAGGCGTGAAAACCCTTTTAAGGGGTGTAAGCTGAAAGTATATTTTGTAAACTGTTGAAATTGGTGCCCCTTTAGTGGGGTGTGATGGTGCGTCCCTGTAGTCCCAGCTACTTGGGAGGCTGATGCGGAGGATAGCTGGAGCCCAGGAGGTTGAGGCCGCAGTGAGCCATGATCTTGCCACTGCACTGCAGCCTGGGCAACAAAACAAGACCTTATCATAAAGAAATAAATAAATAAAATAATTTTAAAATTAAAGAAAAAAAAAGGCCAGGTGCGGTGTCTCACACCTGTAATCCCAGCACTTCGGGAGCCCCAGGCAGGCGGATCACTTGAGGTCAGGAGTTTGAGACCGGCCTGACCAACATGGTGAAACTCCGTCTCTATTAAAAATACAAAAATTAGCCAGATGTGGTGGCGCACACCTGTAATCCCAGCTACTTGGGAGGCTGAGGCAGGTGAATCACTTGAACCCGGGAGGTGAAGGTTGCAGTGAGCCAAGATCGCACCATTGCACTCCAGCCTGGGCAACAAGAATGAAACTCCGTCACTCTGTCTCAAAAAAAGTAAAGAAAAGAAATTGGTGCCCTCCAGTAAGGCAGGCAAGTCATATTCAAACGGACCTGCAGGAGTTTGGGAATATCTCCATCTCCAGGTCATTTCATACAGTTACTGGGCCCCCATTTGTGAGGTGGTGAGGACATCCCTCCAGGCACTCCATCACTGTTCCTCTCTTAAAATCCACCATTCTCCATTGTGCCTTCATTTAGATAGATCTCACTTCTGGAATCTAGAATCCAGAATTCACAAAATTAAAGGAAGGCAGAAACTAGGAGCACGCAGCTAGGAACTTTCAAAATAAGAACTTTTACCTAACAAGCACATTCAGATTTTCAAGAACATCAGCCCTAGCCCTCACTTTGGGGCCTTTACTGGGCAGAAAAAAACATGCAGCGGGTGTCGGGAGGCATTCTGGAAACAAGACTGCGCTGGATTGCAGAAGAGCCTTGCCAAGTGACAAACAGGAAGGAGGGGAAAACGCATCTCAGCACTTTCAAAGCAGAAACACAAATGACTGTCCCCACCCTCCTCTCTCCATCTCTAAATTTCTTTAGTAAAATAAATTTGGAATTAGGGTTAAATAAAGCCATCCAAGTACCCCTTCCTCTCCAGTCTATGCCACAAGGAATCTATCCACTGACTCGGACCTTGTCTGGAGTTTCCGTCTGTGTGGGGATAAGTTATCTGCATGGGGATAAGAGAATCAAAGGAAATTTAAGCTACATGTATAGGTTACTGTGGTTATGCAGAACGTTGGACTTTTCCTGCCAAATAAAAGTAGCTACAAGGGGCTGGGCATGGTGGCTTACACCTATAATCCCAGCACTTTGGGAGGCAGAGGAGGAGGATCACTTGAGTCCAGGAGTTCAAGACCAGCCTGGGCAACATAGTGAAACCGTATTTCCACAAAAATTAGCTGGGTGTGGTGGCACGCGCCTGCGGTCCCAGTTACTTGAGAGGCTGAGATGAGAGAATCATCTGAGCCCAGGAGGTGGAGGCTGCAGTGAGTGAAGATTGTGCCACTGCACTCCAGCCTGGGTGACAGAGCAAGACTCAGTCTCAAACAACAACAACAGCAACAAAAAGTAGTTACCAGGGAATTTTCTCTGGGAAAGTTTCCCTTTGGAAGAATTGAAAGGGAAAAAACAATGTCACCATTGCATCAGAAAATAATGAAGCCCAGGAAAGGGTATGAGAAGGGTAACATACCAGGGGAGTGGGCACGGGTGACTCCTTCAGTCACACCAACAATTGAACACCTAGCAGACAATGTTACCATGAGGTTCTTGGGCTTAATTTGAATAAACCACAGGATTTCATCATCTTAGGGAATTGTGATATAGTTGAATTCTCAAATAAAATTATTCCTAATTGGTTTTAATTCTTTAATACTAGCAGAGGTGAGAAGACATTAAATCAAACAGAAGGCAACATAAAAAACAAACTTCAAAAAATATGAGAGTTGTTGCCTTATTTCAGTGGTTCCTTCCTCAAATGCTGCCACCCATCTAAAAATAAAAATTTCTTTCTCTTTTCTCTCCTTATCCAAATAATTGAGAGCATGCTCCCTCCTTTCACACTCCATGATTCAGCCATCAAAGAACCAACCTCAGCCTCAGCGTAAGTATTTGCCTGTGTCAAGCAAAATCTACAAGAATACATCTCTCTCCCTCTCTCTCTGTCTCTCTCTTAGGTAGGTACGCAAGAATCTCCACATCAGTTGATCATAGTGGATTGGCTCTACCCAGTGTCATAAACTGAAAGATGACAACAAGGAATTTTCTGCAAAATGTCAAGTAAATAATACACACACACACACACACACACCACCACCACCTTCATCTTCAACTGTCGGAACTGCTCCTAGCAAGCTTTCTACTTCAGGGGAAGACAATGTATATTGTATAAAAAAAAAAAAAAGACATTTGGGAGTTGCTGATTTAAGATGCAAAAATGAAGGCTGGGTGCGGTGTCTCATGCCTGCAATTCCAGCACTTTGGGAGGCCAAGGCAGGAGGATTGCTCTAGTTGAGGAGTTCAAGATCAGCTGGGGCCACATAGCAAGACCTTGTCTCTACTAAAAATAAAAAAAAATTAGCCAGGCATGATGGTGCACACCTGTAGTCCCAGCTACTCAGGAGGCTGAGGTGGGAGGAGCACTTGAGCCTGGGAGGTTGACGCTGTAGTGAGCTGTGATTGTACCACTGCACTCCAGCCTAGGCAACAGAGCGAGACCCTGTCTCAAAAATAAAAAAATAATTAATTTTTAAAAAGGCAAAAGTAAGAAAATGTACATTTTTTTTTTTTTGAGAAGGAGTCTCGCTCTGTCGCCCAGGCTGCTGTGCAGTGGCATGATCTCGGCTCACTGCAACCTCTGCCTCCCAGGTTCAAGTGATTCTCCTGCCTCAGCCTTCCAAGTAGCTGGGATTACAGGCGCCCACCACTATTCCTGGCCAATTTTTTTTGTATTTTTAGTAGAGACAGGGTTTCACCATGTTGGCCAGGCTGGTTTCGAACTCCTGACCTCAAGTGATCCACCTGCCTTGGCCTCCCAAGGTGCTGGGATTACAGGTGTGAGCAGCACATCCAGAGAAAATGTACACTCTTAACTGGTATGGGGCAAAGAAGATTTTCTGGTGGAGTGCAGTGGCTCACACGTGTAATCCCAGCACTTTGGGAGGCCAAAGTGGGTGGACTACTTGAGCTCAGGAGTACAAGACCAGCCTAGGCAATATAGGGAGACCTCATCCCTACGAAAAATTTAAAAATAAAAAATAAAAAGGAAGTTTTACTATTTGTCTACCCTCCCCCAATAAAATATAGGCAGGAATGGTATAATAAGTATTAATATTTGTTGAGCAGTTATCACATGCTACACTTTGCATGGATTATCTCATTTAGCCCTCACGACAACCCTATAGGTAGATACCATTATTATTCCCATTTTACAGGCAATGAACTGAGGGTTAATGAGTCTGGCAATGAGCCCAGGAGTTTGAGGTTACAGTGAACTATAATTGTGCCACTGCATTCCAGCTTGGGTGACAGAGCGAGAGCCTGTCTCAAAAAAAAAAAACAACAAAAAAAAACCTAGTAAGTGGCAGAACCAAGCTATGCACCCAGACAGTCTTACTTCAGGGCTCATTTCCTTAACTAGCAAGCTCTGCTGCCTCCCTGCAGAATGTGGTAGACAGGAATCAGAAGACTGGCTTGGCCTCAAGACCTCCCTCTTACTTGCCACTAGCTTGTTCTAACACATTGAGTAAGACAGAGGAAGATCTTAACATGTTTGACCAAACAATGTTCTACAGGTATTTCCTAGCTCTTCCATTTTGGTTTTCCAGAAACCTCACATCTGACTTCGCTGAATCTTAGGGACTGCCGGCAAAGGACATGAAGCAATCTTTGCAAATGAGTTTTTAAAAGCAGAAAGAGCTGTGTCGGAGGTTACAACCTACTGAAAGGTGAAGCCAAAGTTCTAACCCTTTAGCCTAGCCCTGTGGGGTGAGAGTGGGGTGAGAATGATCACGGGTAGATCCCCAGCTCCCAAGGCAATGACAGCAGCTGCAGACCCCATGCTGTACAAACTGAAGCTATACTGAGTGCACACATTGATATGCTTGATGTAGTGCACCTACACAGTCTGTTAACATTTGTGTAGTGACAAATGGATGCAAAGCTCTGTACTAAACATGACACCACCCAGCTTTGTCTTCCAAGAGCTGATGATCTGAGGAGATATGAGACAAATAATCATGCAAATGGCTCCCAAATATATAGCAGAAAACAAGAAGAAAGAGCTGTTATTAAAAGCTTGGGGATTACAGGAGAGAGACAAGCAATGGAGATGGGTGAGGTCAGACCAAGAATTGAGATAGTCTTGGGGCGGCAATGACAGGGTTGCTTAACCTCAGATTTTGGTATAGGCTCCATAAAAAGACAGTGTTGCTGGGGCAGAGTGATCCTTTGGTCTTTTTTTTTTTTTAATTTTTAGAGATGGGGGTCTTGCTTTGTCACCCAGGCTGGAGTGCAGTGGCATGATCATGGCTGACTGTAGCCTTGACCTCCCAGGCTCAAGCAATCCTCCCACCTCAGTCTCCCAAGTAGCTGGGACTATAGGTGCACACCACCACGCTGGAAAAATTTATATATATACATTTAATTTTGTAAAGATGGAGTTCCCCCTCTTTCCTGATCTTGAACTCCTGGGATCAGCAATCCTCCCACCTCATCTTCCCAAAGTGCTGGGATGACAAGTGTGAGCCACAGGTCCTTATCATTATGTTTGAAAGAGGAAGCACTAATGCCACATTTACTTTTCTGTTTCCTACTTTCTTAGGGGAATGTTCAGCCTTCTTCTATACAGGGGAATTTCTACAGTAGTAGGTGTTCAGTAAATATCTGGCTGGATCAATGAATTGGGAGGTGGGGGTGTCTTACGTTGGTGCATTTATTCAACACATTCTCACTTATTCAACAACGCCTGTGGTGGTTTTAAAGTATGTCCACAAATTCTTTGATATGCTGTCCTTCTTCAAAAGGTGGAGGCTAATTCCTTTCTTATTAAGTGTGAGCCGTATATAGTCTCTTCTAACAAATTCAATGTTGCCAAAATGGCCAAAATAATGATCCAAGTGAGTCTAGGACATACTAGGCATAGTGGTCTCCTCTTTGCTCTTTCTCTTAGATCACACCTTCTGGGGGAACTCAGCTGCCATGTCGTAAGGACACTCAAGCAGACATTTGGAAAGGCCCACGTAGTGGTGAGTAGCTAAGGCCTCCTGCCATCAGCCATGTGAGTGGGCCATCCTGGAAGATCATTCAGCCCCAGTCAAGCCTTCAGATGACTGCAATCTCATGAGAAAGCTAAGTTGCTCCCAAATTCCTGACCCACAAAAAACTGTGACATAATAAATGCTTGTTGTTTTAAGCCACTAGGTTTTAGGGTCTTTTGTTATGCAGCCATAAATAACTCATATAGACCTCTACCCTACTGTGTGCAAGGCTCTGTAAATATAATAGTATATAGAATCGCTCTATTCCTGGCCTCACAGAGCTCATCTATTAGACAATACAGACAAAAACCAATTAATATTGAGTGACAAATGCTCTAATAGGAAGAAAGAGGCCCCAGTGGGTGGGAGTTTGAGGATGGGGTAGAGATGAAAACAACCTAGCCCAGTCTGGGAGGTCATAGCTAAGTGATATCTAAGCTTTATCTCTAAAAGACAAGCAAGAATTAGCCAAGTGAAAGCTTACAAGGAGAGGGGAGACCAATCCAGGCCAATGGATTAGCATGTACTGAAGACCACATAGGCAAGATGTAGTATGTGAAATTGGAGAATTATGAGTGTGAAGTGGGGGAATAGAGGAAGAGTTGATGCCAGGTCATACAGGGCCTTGTGAGCCATATCAAAACATTTAAATTTTATCCCAAGAGCAGTAGCAATCCTTGGAGAGTTTTAAGAAGGTAAGGAAACTCACATTATCTGAGTTGCATGAATTGGCAGGAGCAAGAGTCCACACAGGGAAGAGATGATGGTGGCATGAACTGAGGTGGCAGTGATGAGGTGGAGAGAAATAAAGAGATATGCGTAATTATGGAATGGAAAGTGTTGAAGGATTAGCTGTTGTTGTGAGAGGGAATGGGAAGAATGGAAGATGATGCCAAAGCCCCTAGCTTTGGCCAATTGATGGCCAGTGGTGCCCTTCTCAGGGATAACACAAGAGGGCTTGGGGCAAAGAGGACAAGTTAGGTGTTGGACCCTTTGAGTTTGAGGTTACTCAAGCCACAGACTTGTTGTGCATACATGTGCACCCAAGAAGAAAGATACAGTCTGAAGACAGAGATTTGGAAGCCATTCACATAAAGCTGACAGTGGAAGCCCTGATAATGAATGAGATCTCTGAAAATGAGAGTGCCTTGAGATGAGAGAATAAATATATCTTTGGAAACCATGAACCCTGAAGAGACAAGCAAAGCATCATTCAGAGAGAGGAAGGAAACCAAGAGAACAGATTCATTCAAAATATCACAGCAGCAAATGATGTTGAGAAGTCAGATAAGAACTGTGAGGTGCCCCTTAACTGTAGCAACAAAGACATCGCCCAAGACCTTGACAAGCAGGTCAATTTCAGGGATGCTCTCTTGAGGTCAAGGAGTTCTTTTTTTTTTTTTGAGGCAGAGTCTCACTCTGTCGCCCAGGCTGGAGTGCAGTGGCACGATCTTGGCTTACTGCAAGCTCTGCCTCCCGGGTTCACGCCCTTCTCCCGCCTCAGCCTCCCGAGTAGCTGGGACTACAAGCGCCCGCCACCACGCCCAGCTAATTCTTTGCAGTTTTAGTAGAGATGGGGTTTCATTACGTTAGCCAGTATGGTCTCGATCTCCTGACCTCGTGATCCGCCCGCCTTGGCCTCCTAAAGTGCTGAGATTACAGGCGTGAGCCACCATGTCAGGCCATAGTTCTTAATAGTTTTAAAAATATTAGAAAGATTTATTTTTCTTTTCTTTCTTTTTTTTTTTTTTGAGATGGAGTCTAGCTCTGTAGCCCAGGCTGGAGTGCAGTGGCGCGATCTCAGCTCACTGCAACCTCTGCCTCCCAGGTTCAAGCAATTCTTCTGCCTCAGCCTCCTGAGTAGCTGGGATTACAGGTACGTGCCACCATGCCCAGCTAATTTTTGTACTTTTAGTAGAGACAGGGTTTCACTATGTCGGTTAGGCTGGTCTCGAACTCCTGACCTCGTGATCTGCCTGCCTTGGCCTACCAAAATGCTAGGATTACAGGCGTGAGCCACTGTGCCCAGCCGACTTCTCTTTTTTTTACGAAGAAGGGAGAGCTACTCAGCCACTGGCATTGCCCCCCAAAAAATTCCCTTTCTAAGCAGATACTCCTCATTGGATTAGCAAAATGGCCCCCATGTTTTCCCTAAGGCCAACAGAGAGGTCACTAAGACAGGGTCATGTGAAATATAGCAGGAGCCTCCTGCTAATGGCTCAGGAACCAAAAGAGGCGTCAATGGACATGCTTTAAAACACAACCAACTTCACCCAATGTCCTTCCAGAACACAGGAAATAAATTATTTCTTTTCAGAGAAACACAGGGGAGAGGACTTAATTTCCAGTGCTGTCACAAGTATAGGCAGAACCCTGTCCAGAAGGTCCCTAGCATGTATTTCTTTCTCTAGACAGCATAGCCTCAGTGCCTGAGTTTGATATTAGCTAATCACCCTGCGCTCATTACTTAGCCTCCTCAAATCTCCATTCCTTCATCTGTAAAATAAGGGTGAATATAGAACTCACCACAAAGGGCTGAGTAAGGATTGAGATTACTGAGCACAGTGCTTGGCACACAGTAAGAATTCGGGGGAATGTTTTTGCTATAATAGATGGTAAAGTTGTGCAATGAATATTATCACTACTAGATTCAAGTCACCATCAGAAATCTTTCTCTTTGCATTGTTTTTTGGTGTGTGTGTTTGTGTGTGTGTGTGTTTATGTCTTATGAGTAAAGTGCCAACATCTTAACAAGGTGTCTCATCTGTGCAAAAACCCAATCACTATGCTTATGAACTATAAAAGGGCTTCTCTTTGCCTTGTAACTTATGACTGCAGGTTTTTCTCAGCCCTCTCCATCACTACTTGCACCTCCACCACCCCTTTTCTGCCTGCAGCCCTGCTCTTAGAAGCAGGAGATAAGTCTCATTATTTTATTTTATTTTTTTTTGTTTTGAGACAGTCTCGCTCTGTCACCAGGCTGGAGTGCAGCGGCGCGATCTCACCTCACTGCAACTTCCGCCTACTGGGTTCAAGTGATTCTCCTGCCTCAGCCTCCAGAGTAGCTGGGACGACAGGCGCGCACCACGCCAGCTAATTTTTGTATTTTTAGTAGAGACGGGGTTTCGCCATGTTGGCCAGGATGGTCTCAATCTCTTGACCTCGAGATCCACTGGCCCCGGCCTCCCAAAGTGCTAGGATTACAAGCGTGAGCCACCACACCCAGCCTATTTTATTTTATTTTATTTTAGAGACAGGGTCTCTCTCTGTCACCCAGGCTGGAGTGCAGTGGTGCAAACTCAGCTCATTGCAGCCTCCACCTCCTGGGCTCAAGGGATCCTCCCACCTAAGCCTCCTGAGTAACTGGGACTACAGGCACACACTGCCATGTCTGGCTGATTTTTTTATTTTTTATTTTTTGTAAAGACAGGGTCTTGCTATGTTGACCAAGGTGGTCTCGAACTCCTGGCCTCAAGCCGTCCTCCCATCTCGGCCTCCCAAATTGCTGAGATTACAGGTGAGAGCCACCGCACCTGGCCTCATTATTCTCATCACACACCTGATGTCTAGTATAGTATAGTGCCTGGTACGTAGCAGTACATCAATAATGCTGTGGGATGAGTTAATAATAAATTCCAAGTGTATCCCCCAAAAGGTACTTATTATAGCAGAGAAATGTTGCTTCTAGGAGCAGAAAATGTCCTCTATGAGGAGCCAAGGAAAGGTTGGGGAGTCTGAAGAGAGAAGGACCTGAGGCTTGCACCATATTCTGGATGAGGAGCATGGAGATCACTCTCAAATGAAGTTTGGCCAGATAGTGAGCAAAGCAACAGAGCAGCCAGACTGCTCAGCAGGAAGAAAAGATAACAGCTCTGTGGGGTTTTTTTTGTTTTTGTTTTTCCCCTTGCAGGGTAACTCCCTTCATAGGCAACAGACCAGAGAGAGCAGTTGAAGATGAATGTGTCTCTCTTGGCAAATGCTGAGGAGCGTGCACTTCTATCTCATCATTAATCAGGAGGTAGAAGAGAGAGGGTTCTGGTGACCAGTGATGATTTGGGAACACCAAAAAAGACAAACAAACTCCAAACATAATCCAGTGAAAACCCAACAAATTACATGACATTTCAAACCCAGCAGGAGACAAAACGCAGACCCCAAAGAGGAAGTGATGTATTCACCCTAGCCAAACAAAGAGGTCGACACTTTGAAGAGGAAAAAGAAAATCAAGTACAAAGGGACAGCCTAAATTCCTTAAAAGAGCATGGAGGTTGTGACTGAGATCCCATTCCTGGCCTCTGAATCCTGTCTCCCACAACCAGTCAAGCCTGTGGTGATCCATGGACTACCATGTTCTGGAATGAACCAAGAGAAATTAAAGCCTCCTCTCCTCGGAGACAAAACTTCATGCAAACGACATCACTTGAAGTCACCATGGAAAAGAATAGATGGAGTGGGGAGGGGGCAGCATGGAATGAATAGTGGGAAAGGTGACCAAAAGACCTTGAACGATATTCATTCAAAGATAGGCCTCAAGTTGACAATAAAGATGGAATCTTCCATGTAATGCTGCTTTGCAGTAATCAGATCTCTAATCCCAGTTATCGCAAAGAAATGCAAACATGAATGAGGTATTGCCAATGTCTCTAGGGGAATTGCATTTTCATCCTTCATTTAACTGAGAAACTGAGGTGCAAAGAAATGAAGGAAATCGCTTAAAGGATGACAGTGTGAGTCAGCAGCCCGACCAGGAAGCCGGGGCTGCGACTCCTCACTTCCTGGTTTTCTCTACAAATATGAAGAGTACATTCCCTTCCTCTCAGAATCGGTTTGTGGCAGCAGTTCTCTAGCTTAGAAAGGCAGCTTTCCAGGAGAGAAGGCACGGGCATTCGGCTCCTGCTGGGGAGGGGCGAGGTAACCCGACATCAGGTCCACAGGTCCACAGAAACTGAAATTTCTTCCAAGATGAGGCTTTCCCCTTCCTTCGCCTGGAAAACCAATTTGCGCTGATGCCCTGACTCCCTCTCCTTAGAGTGTCCTCCCTGCTCACCATTCTAAGGCAGCGGCTGCACAAATTAGCAGTGCTCTTTGTCCCTAGAGCTCCAGAATCCGATTGTGTTCCAGTGTGTGCCGCAGGCCTCGATGTGTGCTGTGCATTGTAAAACACTGGCACGTGCTTCTGCAAAGAATTTTGTTCTTCTTAACAGCCACCAGAAAGTTTGTTTGGCCATCCATCCCACTGAAGCAAAAAAGGAGAAGAAAGAGAAGAAAAGGCTGTGAACCGCTTATTAGAAGCTTCCAAAGCTGAGTGGAAGTTTAACCAATTTCAAGGAAAGCACACACACACTAAACCCCCCACTGTTTGAGGACTTTCCACGTTTGCATGCACTGGAGCTGGACTCTGGAGCAAAGGGCAGCAGTGATTATTCTAGAGGTTATGTCATAGATGGTGTAACATTATCTTCTGCCCACTGGGATCTTATCAGCCATGTGTGCCTGGTCTATTTTGAGACCCATCTGAGCCTGCTACCTGGGACATGGGTAGTGTTAACAAATCAACATATGGCTGACAAGAGTTTAACCTGCCTCGTCTGGTGAAGAACAGTCAGAGCAAACTGTCTGTCAGCAGCAGCAGCTGAACTTGTGATATGAAATATTGCTTTCTTGCCTAAAAGCAGGACAGAGAAAGAAAAAGAAAAAAGAAGCAAAAGAAATATTGCTTTGTCTTCCAAATAAAATTTAGAGGCTCAGTGTAAACTGCAACTGTGACCCCAATCAACCAAGTAGGTGAAACACACACACACACACACAGAGACACACACACATCTTTTTACTTAGATAGCTTTGTTATTCAGCAAGAAGACAAATTATTAAAAAGTTGCCGGGCACAGTGGCTCACCATGCTGTAATCCCAGCACTTTGGGAGGCTGAGGCGGGTGGATCTCCTGAGGTCAGGAGTTCGAGACGAGCCTGGCCAACATGGCCAAACCCTGTCTCTACTAAAAATATAAAAATTAACTGGGCGTGGTGGCAGGCGCCTGTAGTCCCAGCTACTCTGGAGGCTGAGGCAGGAGAATCGCTTGAACCCGGGAGGCAGAGGTTGCAACGAGATCCCGCCACCGCACTCCAGCCTGGCAACAGAGTGAGACTCCGTTTCAAAATAATAATACTAATAAAATAAAAAAATTAAAAGTTGAGCTCTTTCCACGAGTGAGGGCTGAGAGCTGGCATCCTAGGCAGGCAGGCCAGACCCAGGGTGTGCAATGGCCCTATTTGTTGCCTTGGTCTTACGTACGGAAGACCTCGGCTTCTCTCTTTGCCATTAGCAGGAGTCGAATTCTCAGGGCCTAACCTCACGTTCTATTTTCAGCTATTTCCACAAAGCGTGCAGCCTCTTAGTCTGCCGTCTTCCTGCTGTCCCTCACCCTCCAGGCCAGCAGCAGTGCCGGCCACCTGCCAGTAGCACCTGCTCCCTGCCCTGCTGCCTTGCTGTTTCCTTGGGTCCAGAAAGCCGTCCCTTCCTCCCAACTCTCAAATATAAGTGGCTTCCAGGCAGGCACGGTGGCTCACACCTGTAATCCCAGCACTTTGGGAGGCCAAAGCAGGAGGATCACTTGAGGCCAGGAGTTCAAGACCAGCCTGGGCAACATAACAAGACCCCATCTCTACTTTTTGAATAACTTTTTCTACTTTTTGATAAACTTTTTAAGTGGCTTCCTCTTATTTGTCTACCCAGCGAGTGGTGACGATTTATGTAGTGTAGGGGAGATCTCAGAAGCTGTCAGCCTGAAACACCTGGCCTTTGTCTTCCTGAAGAGAGGGGTTTATTTCTGGCAGACAATCCTACTGGATTTAAAGTTGGGGTGGTTAGAGAGGCTGCTTCTTCATCCATCTTGAAGTGGACATGATGAGGAAAAAATACACTGAGGAAAATGGCCAGTTAAAGACTTCATTATTGGCCGGGCGCAGTGGCTCATGCCTGTAATCCCAGCACTTTGGGAGGCCGAGGTGGGCAGATCACCTGAGCTCAGGAGTTCGAGATCACCCTGGCCAACATGGTGAAACCCCGTCTCTACTAAAAATACAAAAATTAGCCAGGCATGGTGGCAGGCACCTGTAATCCCAGCTACTCGGGAGGCTGAGTCCAGAGAATCACTTGTACCGGGAGGCAGAGGTTGCAGTGAGCCGAGACTGTGCTACTGCACTCCAACCTGGGTGACAGAGCGAGACTCTGTCTCAAGAATTAAAAATAAATAAAGACTTTAGCTGATGGTAATATGGCTCAGGGTCCTACAAAGCTCATAGAAAGTGAGAGGTGCCTTCTCGTCAAAGTACCTAAGAAAGGCTGGGTGGGAAGAGAAACCAAGAAGATTCTCCACTTTTTTAGCCACCATACGTGCCAAATAGTGGAATCTTCCAGGGTGCATGTGTTATTTGTGACTCAATAGCTATTGTGTGCAACAGCCTCTTCATTGACTTCTCCTCAGACAAGTCATAAAAAAAAAAAAAATCTCCCTTTCTTTCAGGAAAGTTAGAAATTCATTTGCCTCCAAAATAATTTTCTCTTCTTTCAGGTAGAGAGACCTAAATAAGTCTTTCAAAGTCTCCCTTTTTTTGATGACTATTTCTAGAAGTAAGAGCCAGAAAGGGCAGAATAATTAGGTTAAGTCACATCTAGCCCTGTGCCATCTGTGCATGGAGTGTGCGGATGATCTCGGTAGCGGTTAAGCCACTTACTAACCTCCTATCCACTGGGAAGTGATGAAGGAAGAAGTGACTAATGATGCTAAGGAGACAGCTGTCCTTATTTGGGCTCAGTTTACAGCAATTCTTGCCTTTGCAAAGATAACCAGGGGTTCAAAGCATGACATCTAAGAGTTGGTGAGGAAGCCCCATCTGTGCTAGTTAGGGCTTTGGAGTCACAGACTTGGGTTCTAATTCTAATTCTGTCACTCACTGGCTGCATGACCTTAAATTACTTAGCCTTGTTAAGCGTAGATTCCTCATCTGTAAAATATGGAAGAAGAAGCTTTGCCTCTTAGGGTTGTTGTGAAGATTAGCATAAAATGCCAGGTGCAGAATAAGGGCTTAGTAAGTGGCAAATTATTATTGGGGAATAAAATAAATGAAGAGGATTTTGTTAATAAACAAGATTCTTCCAACTAATCCCACCTTCAATTATGATTTGGGAGCTCAGTGTATCATCCTTCGCACTGGAACCCTGCTCAGCAATGATGCCATCTGCTTGTTTGCTTGCTGTAATAATCCAAGACTAAAGACCCTTAAAAAAAAAAAAAAAAAAAAAAAGATACCCTGCTGAAGGGAAAATTATACAGGGCAAGTAGAGATATTCAGAGTAAAAATATACTTAGTAATAAAACCTTCTGTGTCACTATGAACACCATTTGTGTTTCTGACAAGTACCACTCAATTTTGTTTTCATGACCATAAAAAATTCCAGCAGAGACGTAGATCTTCAGTATTTCAGGTCTGGTAGTGTGCATGGATTGTAAAACCTTTTCTTGGCTTTGGGCACCAAAGTAGGTTAGGTAATAAAGAAGTTGCAAAGAAGAGATGTTTGGAGTTTCCAGTTTTGATAGCCAAATGATAAAACAAATGTGATGAGAGCATAGAGTTATCCCCAACACCGTTATATCCCATAAAATCAATCAAAAAATTATGTTACATAAAATAAGGATAGAGAGAGAAAGAGAGAGAGAGAAAGAGAATGTCTGCTTTACTAAATTGATTTTCTCTCTCTTCAGAGTTGGTTCTCCTTTTTTGACCCCCACCACATATATAAGACAATAGCTTTACTTTAGTATTCATTAATTTAAAAGATACATAAAAATTAGCTGGGCATGGTGGCATGCACCTGTAATCCAAGCTACTCGGGAAGCTGAGGCAGGAGAATCACTCGAACCCGGGAGGCAGGGGTTGCAGTGAGCCAAGATCACACCACTGCAGTCCAGCCTGGGTAACAGAGGGAGGCTCTGTTTCAAAAAACTAAATACATAAATAAAAGATACATAACATAATAATAATGTAAAAATTTATGAATGTAAAAATGCTTTTAAATGAATTTGTGGTTTATTAATTAATGACAAAGACATACATTTGGACAGAGTGCCTTTATATGTCAGTACTATTATTCCATCTGCAGGAAGTGCTGGGTGCACATAAAGCACTGTTGACCCTTTGCAGTAACTCGGTGTCCCTGAGGGAGTATTTAGCCATCAACTGGGAACCACTGACTTCGAGCAGAAATATGATGTGAAAGCAGGAAGGGATGCTCAACACATCCTTAAAGTGTTTTTCTGTAATTTAAGCAAGGTGAAATAAAAATATTTTTCCCCTAAGCATCTGAGCCTGTGAAGTTAGTCTCATCTTGCAATTAGTTTCATTTCCATGTGCTTAGAAATCCAGCCCATGTTACAGTTTTTCAGCTCCCTACAAAACCAGAAGTTTTGCTAATCAAATATTTATTGAATGATAGTGATCTTGCTTATAACCTCAGTGGTGTCTATCCCTTAAATTAACCACATTCATTGTGTTGTCTTTGTGAGATTTTGATCGTTTCCAGATGCAGATACACCTTATATGAATAGAAAGAGAAAAAAATCCAAAGTCATTCAAAATAGAAGCAGAACCATAGCTACCACATGTGTTTTAAATATATTACCCATACAATTAAGAATACAGTATTATAAACCAGCTCTATAAATCTTGTAATAAAAACAGAAATGCACCAACTCTTCTTAGCCACAAAGAGGCCCTTAATGATACTATAGATTCCATGATGATGTGGCGTTGGGACTAACTTAATATTCCATAGGAAGAATGTCAGCTGGCTGAAATAAATAGAGCGTATCCCTTTCTGTGCATAACTAAAATGAAGGGAAAATATTTTTCTTTCATATAGACAAAAAAGAAGCTCTTTTTATTTTGGAAATTCTTAAAGATACATAAAAGTAGAGATAATAGTATAATGAATTCTCACATGCCTACCACCCAGTTTCAGCACATGGCATCTTATTTCATTTATATTTTTCATTTTCTAACCCGCCAAAAAAAAAAAGCTGCATTATTTTAATACCAGACATCACATCATTTTGGTGCAAATATTTCATGATGTATGTCTAAGACATGAGAACTCTTTGAAAAAAACAGTATGATCACAAATTCACTAATACTCAAACCAGTAACAATAATTCTTTAATAGTCTTTAATAGATAGTATTCAAATTTCCCCAAACATCCCATATTTGTTTACTTTTTAAAATCAATTGTATCTTCAACTTTTAAGGATAGTGGCTGTTTTTAAGGAACTCACATAGCTGAAATCCCCTTACAGTTCCTCTGAGAAATATGTCTTTAAATAAGCGCTTAGTCATGGGACATTTTATCACTGATTCAACAATCACTCTAGGCCTTTATTGAGATGGGCCCAAACACTGCACAGCAGTGGAAACAGGCTCTATTAAGACTTCTTCTCACTGTCTCTTACGGTAGGGCAGTGCCTTAAAGTGCACAGAGCTGGGGGCGGGGGATCCTTGATTCTAATCTTCATGTGGTTGTTATATAACTGTATAACCTTGAGCATATCTCCCTTCTTTGTCTCAGTTTCCAGGCCTGTAAAAAGAGTGGCTTAGCCTATGTAATTTCTAAATTTCTTTCTGGCTTTTAAGATTCAACATGTTTGGTTTTATGTCTATGTCAAAAGCTGTATCGGCATGGTGTTATTTTCAAAAATGAGAGAATGTCTATTGTAAAAGAGAGTGGGTCTTATGAAATCATAAGACTAGTTGAATCCTGACTCTAGGTCCCTTGGGTAAGTCGTTAACCTTTTTAAGCCCTAATGTCACACTGTATTACAATTATTTATTTTACATATCATCTCTCCTATCAAAAGTGAGTTTCTAGAAAGTAGGGTTTTCTCATATTTGTCTTTCTATCATCAAAGTCCAGGGTCCTGTCTGGAGCCTGGTAGGTTCTCAATAAGTGCTTGTTACATAAATGAATGGGAGGGTATGCAATCTGAGGGTAAGAATGGTGGCTCCATCTACCTTACAGGATTACTGTACCGTGAAATGAGCTAATGCACATAAATTCACATTTTATATTTGTATTTTAAACATTCTAAGTAGGATATTTTATTTGCTTATAAAAATCTCTGCTTTACTTCTTACCTTTAGTAAGGGATTAGTGAGGTAGATTTTTCTTTCCTATGCTCAATTTTTTTTTTTTTTTTTTTCCAGAGACAAGGTCTCACTCTGTCACTCAGGCTGGAGCGCAGTGGTGCAATCACAGCTCACTGCAGCTTCAAACTTCTGGGCTTAAGCAATCCTCCCACCTCAGCCTCCTGAGTAGCTGGGACCACAGGCACATGACAACATGCTCAGCTAATTTTTTGTTTTAAGTTTTTTGTAGAGATGGATTTTTTCGTTGTTGCCCCAGGCTGGTCTCATCCTGACCTCAAGAGATCCTCCTGCTTTGGCCTCCCAAAAGGCTGGGGTTACATGTGTGAACCATCACATCTGGCCTTCTATCTCCAATTTCATTTGTCTTTGGAAAATTGTACATGCCTCCTGCTCTTTTTTTTTTTTTTTGAGATGGAGTTTCACTCTTATTGCCCAGGTTGGAGTGCAATGGTGGGATTTTGGCTCACCGCAACCTCCACCTCCCAGGTTCAAACGATTCTCCTGCCTCAGCCCCCCGAGTAGCTGGGATTACAGGCATGCGCCATCACGGCCAGCTAATTTTTTGTATTTTTAGTAGAGATGGGGTTTCTCCACGCTGGTCACGCTGGTCTCCAACTCCTGACCTCAGGTGATCCTCCCGCTTTGGCCTCCCAAAGTGCTGGGATTACAGGCATGAGCCACCGCGCCCAGCCTAGAGTACACTTTCATGTGCTCACCACCCTTTCTTATTTTTCTATAACAATGTTTTGGGGGACTTTTTGTAAGTAATTGGGGAGTGGCTTAGTGCCAGTCTACTTTAAATAAGACATTTTTATTGACTCCTACAAATTAAAATAATGCAGGAGGTAGTGTAACATGGATTAGATATATCAGATGCATGAATTTTCCGACATACTAAATGTTCACTGGAACCAGTTCTCTAAAGATGGTCCTGATTCAGTTTCCACTACAGCCAAATGTGAACAGGTCTGCCTCTGAATGTTTCCTCAAATGGTCTTTCTCTTTTTGGTAATTATACTAAAATTTAGTTTATCAGTTGATGATTCCTAATGACACCATTTTGAAACGTGAACACTTCTCTCAACCCTGTTCAAATCTGGCACAATTCCTAGAGCAGCAGAGCAGCAGTACCCAGAAGGAACACTAGCCCTGGGCAAAATCCTCACCAAAAAAAACCAAAAAACAAAAAACAAAAACGGTGACTGAACAAACATACTTAGGAAAGTTTTCATATTATAAACTCTTCGTGGTGATTCACAAACACCTTAGCACATCAAAGATTCTGAAAGGCCTTACACTGCTGTATTTATTTCTTGTGTAACAAATATACTTGATTTAACTTGCTTAACTCAGCATTTCTCAAACTTCCTTATTTTATGGACCACTAAGAAAGAAAATCATAGCCAATTAAACTATGACCCAATGCTAAGATGGCACCAAATAGAAGACATCAGAGATGTTAACATTCAAAACTGTGTATATCTGGGAATAAATGTGTTGTGATATATGACCACAGAGCCCTTTTTTCAAATATAACTTAAGGCCATATTGAAGATTTAGTTCTTTGGAATGGTATTCTGGAAAACTACGCTCTAGCCTAGACTTTCATAATTATTTCAGAGGAAAAGGGTAGAAGGTTATTTTTTTTTTCATTAAGAAGTAAAAGAAAATAATGTCGTGGGATTAGAGAAAAGAGAAAAAGAAGTAAAAGAACCAAAAATGTTGAATCCAAAAAAAGAGAAATACTGTTCACCCGTTCGTGGTGTGAAATAAATTGACCTTATCCAGTTAAAAAGTAATTTCCAGGTACACATCACAATGTAACTGTCCAGCTGGCCTCATGAACATGCAAATCTCTTTAAATTAAGATGGCATGTAATTAAATCGTTCAGCTGGTTGCCAGGCTTCTCCGCGCAGGTAGTTTACTTTCGCTTGAAATAACCCCTTTGCGTCTGAAGATCCCCACACCCTGAAGTGACTCAACTTCATAACACCACCATTGAAATCTCTAGCTTTACAGGCAATAGGCTTGGCCGGAGAGCATCAGTAACTCGGCAGTGAGTCAGATGAAGAGCTCTGGGGAGGAAGGTTGGAGGCTAAGTTTGCTTGCAGGGAATGGGTGCGGTTGAGCGCCCGGGCCTGGCCAGAGCCTCCCAGTTTACATCCTGCTTCCCTGTTGCCAATCCGACTCCCGGGAGCCGCCCTGAAGGGGTGTGGGCAGAACTTCGGGGACATGGGGTACCATCCCAGGCCGTCCCAGGTTCCCTGTACTTCTGGATTTAGCCCCACTGAAGCTTCAGAATGTCTGAACTACATGAATTCACCTTCCGGGACGCGCACCTGGGACTAGCGAGACCGGCAGGGCTTTGCGCGGTCCTTAAGACCCGGAACAAACACCTGATGACCCCGGGGTCACCTTCACACTCTCCTCTGCCCCACACCTCGTAGCCCCCGCCGGCGGCCTCCTTCCAGGCTGGGGCCTGCCTCTCCAGGCGGCGTCCCCCGAGGGCGGCTGCGGCGCGGAGCCGGGCGGTAGGGCAGCAGCCCTGCGGCGGCTCGGGAAGAACAACTTGTGCGAACTGGGCCGCGCTTCCCCCGGGCGCTGCATCCGCCTTCCGAGATGCTGGCAGCCCGGGACGGCCTAGCGCGGCCCTCTCCTTATTTATCCACCGAGCACAGTTTCCATGGTTCCGCCGCCATCCTTCCGCCCCCTTCCTCGCGCGGAGCCCAGCGGCAGTCGAGGGCCTGGCTGGTGTGGGGCTGCGGGGTGCGTGCGCGGCGCGGGGCCCGGGCGTATTTTTCAAGCCTCGGGGCGCGTGGGTGCGCCCCCCAACTCCTGTCCCCCGAGAGGCTGTGCCACTTCCGCAGCCCCAGCCCAGTCCCTTCCCCACTGGGCCGCACCTCCAGTCTGCCCGCAAGGCGCCGCGCAGCCCCCGGCCCGGCCCGGTGGCGCGGGGGAGGGGCGCGCCGGGCAGGCAAAGTTGCTGAGTTGCTCTGCACGCTCAGAAGTTGCAGCTGCGACGGCAGCTTCCCTCCCCCTTCCTGCACTGGGCTACCCGGAACGCACACCCACCCGTCACCACCCGCTACCTGCCCTCGCCCCTGCGGCCCCGGCCGGGACTCCACAGCATCCCCACCCTGCGCCCGCGAGGAGCCCAGGTTTCCAGCGGAGTTGGGCTGGGGGCGGGCGCACCCCATCTCCCCGCTCCGCCTCGGGGGAGGCGGGTGATGCGTGGAGGGGGTGGTTAGGATCCCCTCTACCGAGTCGCCGCTTGCCTGCGGCGCTTTTGCACTTTCCTAAGCTGAGCAGCTGTGCAGGCGTCGCCCGCCGGCCCCTGCGCCCTCCTAGCAAAGCGGGG
This sequence comes from Homo sapiens, assembly GCF_000001405.40. NCBI lineage: Eukaryota > Metazoa > Chordata > Mammalia > Primates > Hominidae > Homo > Homo sapiens. Next base: position 7,052,295 of record NC_000006.12, read on the forward strand.
TTTGCAGAACGGGAACTGGGCGGTCTTCCCATTCCCTCCCGCAAGGAATTTTGCTGTGAGGGTGGAGAGGGGGCGGCGGGGGGCTCGGCTTGGGGCTGAGGTTGCCAACAGGTGCTCGCGGGTCCATGTGACCGAGGAGGGAGCGCGCAGGGAAGCCGGGGGTGGGGGTGGGGGCGGGGGCAGGCTCCCTCGGCGTCCCCCCCGTAGTGCCCGACGCCGGGTGCACCCAGCCGGCAGCTGTCTGGGGAGTGCTCGCGGATGGCTCCTCGGAGCGCTGGCGCCCTCGCGGCCTGTCTGGGAGGAGGAGGAAGAGGAGGGGGAGGGAGGGGACGCGAAAGTGGGTCAGGAATGTAACTGGATGCTGCATACCCCCCACGCACACCCCCGCTGTGGCCGACCGAGGCGGCCAGCTCCAGCCTTGGAAAGCGAGTCATTTGCTGTTGTGGTTCCCCAGCATTATCGGTGGACGGTTACCAGGGGATCCCGAGGGATGTGTTTCCCTGTGACCCTTTGGGAAGGAAAACTTGGTTGCCTCAGTAACCGAGTTTGGCTTGGATGCAATGATGCAGTGAGTGTTCTAGGTGAGCCTGGCCGAGAAAGAGGCTGCAGTTGCACTAGGGGGTGGATTAACTTTTCTTATTACCGAACCAAGACGTGAAAGGAAAGCTGGGGAGGAGGTGGAGTTTTGCTCTGTGTTTGTTTTTTTACTATTTCAGAGAATACGAACTAAACGTTTTTGCGTTAGGGTTTGTCTTCCAAATGCACGCCCGGGCTGCCATACATTTACCAAAGTTTTACTACTCACCACTTAGTTCATACAAAGGTTTGAAGCTGATATCCTAGAGTTGGAAGGAGCAGGGGACAGTGACAGTTTTGTATTTGAGGAAGGCCTGAGAAACAAACGTGAAAAGGCCTTTATTAAAAGAAGAAGAAAAAAAAAAAACGACCCTCCTCAAAGCAGAAGGAGAGCAGCCCAGTTCCCTCATGAGCACAGTGGCATCTCACACCCCAGGCACGTGATGATTTGGAAAGGGAGGAATGGAGATTTAAAAGGGATGGGCTTTGGGTTTGAATGCTAGCGAGACAAGCAAAATCAAGAAAAAAAAAAAAAAAGATGAGACTGCAAAGGGAAATTTAGCTGTGTGAGTGTATAGCCCAAACTCTTCTTGAGCACCCTACCTGGTTTTTGTCCCATTTTTTTGCATCCGGTTTTGTCCAGTGGACCTTAGTCACAAGGTGTAGGCAGGGCTGCTGAACCAAGGCCCAAAGAGCAGTGAAGCTGCAAACCCAGAAGCAATGTGCAACTGCTGGGACTTTTTATCTAGAAGCAAAAAAAGGGGTGTGTTATCCTCTTAAGGGTTATCTGAAAAGCTGACTTAGGCTGTAAATTTCTGTATCCAAGGCACTCTAAAATAAAGAAACATACATTGAGATGTATTTTACTTTAAGGAGTATATAGTATATTCTTAGGAGACAGAAACTAATCAATTGAATTATATTCTAAATATATAAAAGTAGAGGTTATTTTGTTGTGAAAACTTTTGTGGAGATGTAATTATCCCCAGTCTACATTTATTTACTTATTTATTGGTAACTAGGTAAACCTTGCTGAAGTTGTCTCACTAGTAGAATGAGAATAATAATAACAATTGGCCTTATTGGCCGGGCGCAGTGGCTCACGCCTGTAATCCCAGCACTTTGGGAGGCCGAGACGGGCGGCTCCCGAGGTCAGGAGATCAAGACCATCCTGGCTAACATGGTGAAACCCTGTCTCTACTAAAAATAAAAAAAATTAGCTGGGTGTGGTGGCATGCGCCTGTGGTCCCAGCTACTTGGGAGGCTGAGGCAGGAGAATCCCTTGAACCTGGGAGGCGGAGCTTGCAGTGAGCCGAGATTGCGCCGCCGCACTCCAGCTGAGGCAACAGAGCGAGACTCCGTCTTAAAAAAAAAATCAAAACAAAAACAATTGCCTTCTTTGAGGAGGTAGACTGGACTTTTTTAGTTTTTGTTGCTGTTGTTTTAATTTTGTAGAGATGGGGTCTTACCATGTTGCCCAGCTTGGTCTCGAACTCATATGGGCAGGCTCAAGCAATCCTCCTCTCCCAATCTCTCAAAGTGCTGGGATTACAGGAGTGAGCCACCACACCTGGCCTGGATTTTCTACATTATTTTCTGGATAGAGAATCCAGTTCAACTGGCAAAAGTCATTATTTTCATTTATGGTGTTTGCTTAAACTGCAGAACAGCTGTAGTTGAAAGATCACAAATTCTATACTTTGAATAGTCTTGCATTCTGAATGAAAATAACAGAGTTATACAAAAGTTTTCTTGGAACTTGAACACATTCATGATCTTAGATTTTGTCACCCTGTTAAGGAGCAGGATTTCCTTCTATGTAAGATAATTAGACTTTAAAATTTTGGTTCAAACCAGAATTGTTGCTATAGAAATACATTGAAAATTTAAGTAAAATGAAGTGGCAAACTTCCTTTTTCCTCTCATCCTTTCTGCCTACCCCCATATTTCATCTCTGAATTCATGAAACATTTATATCTAGGGTGATCTGCATTTTAGCTGTAAATCAGATTAATAAAGCAAATTAAAGAATGAGTATCTGTTAAGAAAAGATTACCAATAGGGTTCTTCATATTGTGAAGTGTTCCTGTATATTTAGAACGTTTGATATATACATTTTGGGGCACTTTTCAAGAAATCATCTACGTATAGCAGGTTTTCACATAGATTACCGTGGGCAATGCGCTTGGAACCATTTACTCACTGACACCCTCAAAATATTTTTTGAATGAATGTTTTAAACATCTGAGCCACCTATTCTTGTGCAGATCTATGTTTAACACTTTGAGAGTTACAGAGAAGTAAGTATATGCATGTTCTTTTAAGAGTCAAAGGGTTCAACAGCTAGATGACAAATATAAGAAGTTTAACTGTTTTAAATATTTTTTTAGAGACAGGGTCTCACAAGGTTGTCCAGGCTGGAGTGCAGTGGCTTTTTTTTTTTTTTTTTTTTTTTTTTGAGATAGAGTTTTGCTCTTGTTGCCCAGGCTGGAGTGCAGTGGTGTGATCTCAGCTCACTGCAACCTCCGCCTCCCAGATTCAAGCAATTCTCCTGCCTCAGCCTCCTGAGCAGCTGGGATTATAGGCATGCGCCACCATGCCTGGCTTATTTTGTATTTTTATTAGAGACGGGGTTTCTCCATGTTGGTCAGGCTAGTCTCGAACTCCCGACCTCAAGTGATTCGCCTGTCTCAGCCTTCCAAAGTGCTGGGATGACAGGCGTGAGCCACCGCACCCGGCCAAGAAGTTTAACTGTTGAAGAGTTAAATAAAAACACCAGTAAGGCCAGGCACAGTGGCTCACGCCTATAATCCCAGCACTCTGGGAGGTTGAGGTGGGTGGATCACTTGAGCTCAGGAGTTGGAGACCAGCCTGGCCAACATGGTGAAACCTTGTCTCTCTACTAAAAATACAAAAATTAGCCCAGGGTGGTGGCGCAAGCCTGTAATCCCAGATACTCTGGAGGCTGAGACAGGAGGATCACTTGAACCTGGGAGGCGGAGGTTGCAGTGAGCGGAGATTGCACCACTGCACTGCAGCCTGGGCAACAGAGCCAGACCCTGCCTCAAGAAAAAAAAAAGTGAAAAAAAATGTGCATAAAAAGAGATGATGGATTCACTTACGAAAGTTTCCATGAGTTGGCCAGGCGCGGTGGCTCACGCATGTAATCCCAGCACTTTGGGAGGCCAAGGCGGGCGGATCACGAGGTCAGGAGATCGAGACCATCCTGGCTAACACGGTGAAACCCCGTCTCTACTAAAAATACAAAAAATTAGCCGGGCACGGTGGCGGGCACCTGTAGTCTCAGCTACTGGGGAGGCTGAGGCAGGAGAATGGCATGAACCCAGGAGGCGGAGCTTGCAGTGAGCCAAGCTAGTGCCACTGCGCTCCAGCCTGGGCGAAAGAGCGAGACTCTGTCTCAAAAAAAAAAAGAAAGTTTCCATGAGTTGAGAAGTGGAATAATAAGAGTTTTTTTAAAGTTTTTTCTTCTTCTATTTATTCTCTAAAATGTTGGTAATAAACCTGTACTGCTTCTGTATAAGAGATTTGCTCTTTTTGAGGAAACATTGCCGGGAAGCCACTGTATGAGTGACTGTCAATGAAGTGTCAGACAAAAAGTGCCCAGGAACTTCCAGAAAGGCCAGAGAGCAAAGCAGGCTGGGCCAAGAGGACTGTGTGGAGTACTAGGAACCAAGTTTAGCTTTGTCAAAAGTAGAACGCAGAGGGAACGAGGGAAGGGAGAGGGGAAGGAAGAAAGGTTCAGATGTTGCGGGGTGCTGGGTGTGTTCTGGGAGGGTGGCTGTTAGGTGGCAGCCATCAGGAAGTGCTTCAAAGGGAGATGGTAGGACTTGAACTTAGGCCTTAAAGGCTGTACATGATTTTATACCTAGTGAGAGAGAGGCATTCCTAGTGGCATAAGCCTAGTGAGATAAGCCAAGAGGCAGCAATTTGCACGACACCTTTGGGGAATTTGAATAGGTCAGCTTTGCTAGAAGAGATGGATCATGTATGAAATCTGTCATTTAATGATAGATTATAGTGTTAGGCCCTTATATGCAGGTAATAGGGAATTATGAAAGGATTTTGAGCAGGGGAAATACATGGTCAAAGTTGGATTTGGGGAAAGTTAATCTTATAGGTCCGATTGGAGTGGGAGTTTAGGGGCCATGAATGGCTATTGCAGGGAACCAAGGGGACCTGGACAAGGATAGTATCAATGGGAATTGCTTGGAACACAATGCTTTGTGAGTTGTTATGAAAGAAAAATTGTCATCATTTTATAGTGTTTAGATGTGGAAGGCAGGAGATTGAAGAGTCCAAGATGACAGAGGATTTAAATCCAGAGAGACCTTGAGAGGTGGGACTATCAACAGAAATGAGAACAGGAAGCCAGTGTTCAAGGTAGGTTGAAGGGTTGATTTGCATTTAAGGCTAGGAGGGGTAGCTGGGTTTAGGTGAGTTAGGGGCAATCGATGGGTCAGGGCTGAAACTAGAGCTGTGAGTCATCTATATAGAGGTGATTATCATTCACACGTGTGAATGAGCACCTAAATTTGAATTTGGTGGCAAAGGACTAGTTTTAGGGAACATTCACAATTAGAACTTGCCTCAAAATATAATTTTGCAGGCCGGGAGCAGTGATATGCTTGTAATCCCAGCACTTTGGGAGACTGAGGCGGATGGATCAGTTGAGGCCACGAGTTCGAGACCAGACCTGGGTGACAGAATGAGACTCTGTCAAAAAAAATTTTTTAATATATATTTATATATAAATTAACATTAATAAATGTAAATGTATTAATAAAATTACATATATATGTAATTTTGCAGATTGTCCTCCTTCCTCATAGAGTGTAAGTTAGTCATTCCTTGGCTTTAGTTAGAACCGATACGCTGACTCAGCACTGTTCCAACCAAGTGCTTTAACCCAGCGGCTCCCTAACCTGCCTCATCAGATTAAGAGGCCGCACCACATAGTTGTTGCACCAGAATCTCCTGGGCCAGCAGTCCATTTTTTTTTTTTTTTTTTTTTTGAGACAGAGTCTCGCTCTATCACCAGACTGGAGTGCAGTGGCGCGATCTCGGCTCACTGCAACCTCCACCTCCTGGGTTCAAGTGATTCTCCTGCCTCAGCCTCCCGAGTAGCTGGGACTACAGGCGCGTGCCACCATGCCCAGCTAAGTTTTGTATATTTAGTAGAGACAAGGTTTCGCCACGTTGGCCAGGCTGGTCTCCGTCTCTTGACCTCAAGTGATCCACCCGCCTGGGCCTCCCAAAGTGCCAGGATTATGGGCATGAGCCACCGTGCCCAGCCAGTCTGTATTTTTAATAAGCTTTACAGGTCACTCCGGTATGGATCATTTTGGGGAACCAGTTTCTTAGCTAGTTTGTTGTAGAGCCTGAGACCTTCCCGTGAGACCTCCTATGTCTCTCCCAGGGAGAGAAAGAGCTCAAACTTTTTATGAGTTCGTTTCAACCTGTCCTTTTGCTTTTGTATATGATGGACGGTCATTGATAGTGGTGCTCAAAGTTGTTTTTATCCAGATGACCTGCTGCTTTCCAAATTTAGCACTGGTCTGAAAGAGTGGAGGGATGTGTCAGAAGTCCTCTGCCCTGCTGCTAGGCTGGAAGGAGATTTGGGTTGAAGAGCTATGTGGAGAGTGGAGAGTGACTCAAACTTTGTACATTGAAGCTTGTTGGAATGATGCAATCACCCAGGCATTGGACAGACCACTTCCTGTACCTTTGGATACACAGACCCAGGGTGTGGTATTTGGCAGTACTCTCAGGAGTAGGCTGGCTGATCCTCTTCAAGGGAGCTGAGTAGTCAGAGGTAAGGCCAGGCAGGCTGCAGGCTCCAAACCCACAAATGTTTCTAGTTTAGAGATAGATGGATTGTCAGAAACTTGGAGGGGGATTTCTAAAAGGTGATGAGTATGAACACCTTTCTCAAGGAATACCTGGCTCTCTAGGTATATGTTTCTTTCTTTATTGTCAGAAGACAAATGTCTGTCCTGTGGAGCAGCAGTTACACACGTTGTCACAGCCAGCTTTGAATTAGTTTGATGCTGATGATCTGCCTACAATTATCATTTGCTCTTCATTTTCCCATTTGGTTTATAAGCTGTAAAGAGACGAATTCACCTGTCTATATTATTACATGCCTGGTGAATGAGCAGGCGGAAATGAATGTTTAAAATTGATGGTGGAGGGTTTGAGGGGTAGGATCACACCACACCCCACACCCCATACCCGACTCCAGCATCACATACACAGAATTCAAGCTGTCCATTTTTCTAAGTCTCTAACTGTTGAAGCCAAGGGTGGGTCATTTTGTTATTGCTCCACCCCTACCCAATAAACAGTGGAAGTTGATAGAGTCTAGTGGGGTTTTTTTAATTGTGGGAAAGTATACATGTAAAATTTATTATTATGGCTTGAAGCCGGGAAGCAGAGGTCACAGTGAGACAAGATCATGCCACTGTACTCCAGCCTGGGCGACAGAGCGTGACTCCATCTCAAAAAATAAAATAAAATAAAATAATTTACCATCTGAACCATTTTTAAGCACACAGTTCAGTAGTGTTAAGTGTATTCACATTGTTGTGCGGGAGAATCTAGGTTTTTAAAAATCCATTTAGAATATAAGGAAGTATTCTAAAAATGTCAGAAAATGAAACCCAGAGTTATTAAAAAAAAACTATACATGAAAGAAAATAGTTTTATGTGCAAACACAGCATTTGTATTCTATCCTAAGAGAAGGCACATAGAATGTTTTTCTTGTAGGACAGGCTTGCCTGAGTCTGTCCTTTCACAGTAACTAATTTTAATCAGTACAGAGGAAAAAGACAATCTGGTGCTTGAGATGGCTTTAAGAAGCCAGAAATAGGCCAGGTGCAGTGGCTCATGCCTGTAATCCCAGCACTTTGGGAGGCCAAGGCTGGCAGATGACGAGGTCAGGAGTTCGAGACCTGCCTGCCCAACATGGTGAAAACCCATCTCTACTAAAAACACAAAAATGAGTCGGGAGTGGTGGTGTGTACCTGTAACCCCAGCTACTGGGGAGGCTGAGGCAGGATAATCACTTGAACCCGGTAAGTGGAGGTTGCAGTGAGCTGAGATTGCACCACTGCACTCCAGCCTGGGTGACAGAGCAAGACTCCGTCTCGAAAAAAAAAGACTGGGTGCGGTGGCTCACACCTGTAATGCCAGCACTTTGGGAGGCCAAGGTCTTAAAAAAAAAAAAGCCAGAAGTAGTGCTAGCATCTTGTTTTGTTGTTGTTTGTTTTTGAGACAGAGTCTTGCTGTGTCGCCCAGGCTAGAGTGCAGTGGCGTGATCTCGGCTCACTGCAACCTCCACCTCCCAGGTTCAAGCAATTCTCCTGCCTCAGCCACCTGAGTAGCTGGGACTACAGGTGCCCGCCACCATGCCCAGCTAATTTTTGTACTTTTAGTAGAGATGGGGTTTCACCATGTTGGCCAAACTGGTCTCAGACACCTGACCTCAAAGGATTCAACTGCCTCAGCCTCCCAAAGTGCTGGGATTACAGGTGTGAGCCACCAGGTCCAGCCTAGTGCTAGCATCTTGATACAGATGTTCAAGTTTTCTTGAACCTGTGAGTATACAATGAGAGGAGACATCCAGTCAACTGTGAATTTACAGATTTTAATTTACACAATTTCCTAGAGTTTCCACTTTGTTTTTCTATACTGTATGAAAATATTCTCTTGACAGACACTGAAAGTAGGTGATATTTGCCATTGTTTTCCTAGTGAAAGACAGCTTATTATTATATACGAAAATATGGATATCAGTGGCCAAAAAAATCCACATGGGCAGGGATCTTTACATCTGTTATCAGGTAAATGACCACATCGTTAAATGAAAGAATTTTGAAAGTTGAATAAATCTTACTTAAGATTCACAAGAAAGATTGGAAACATTATTGCCATTTGCTGAAGTTCTTAGTCAACCCAAACTGTATTAACAGTTCATTCTTTTTTTTTTTTTCACATTAGAAAATTTATTTTCACAACCACTTACTGTTTGCACTCAGTTGTTCATAATACCTACAAAACAGGTTTGAAGGCAGTCAGTCCAACAGGATGTGAGCTACAGTTCCAAAGAAGGTATGGTTTGTGTTTTACCAAAGGAGAAATGCCTTCCCTATGTATATGTCTCATGGCTTTGGGAATTTATAGCTTATTTAGCAACCCTCCATTTAAAAAGTGCTGCTAGATTTGAGGAAACTTATAGAATAATTCTGAGTTTCTCTTATCCAAAACTGCTTCAGTAAACTTTTGCTTATCAGTCTTGAAAAGATGTGTTAAAACCAGTTTGGCAACTTTTTAAATATAGCATGCTGGAAGGCCTTGAGAGAAGAGTTTTGAAGCAATATCAGTGTTGGAACTAAAAGGGAACACTTTTATTTATTTATTTATTTATTTATTTATTTATTTATTTTTGAGACGGAGCCTTGCTCTGTCACCCAGGCTGGGGTGCAGTGGCGCGATCTCGGCTCACTGCAATGTCTGCCTTCTGGGTTCACGCAATTCTCCTGCCTCAGCCTCCTGAGTACCTGGAACTACAGGCATGCACCACCACACCCAGCTAATTTTTGTATTTTTAGTAGAGACGTGGGTTTCCCTATGTTGGCCGGGTTGGTCCTGAACCCCTGACCTCAAATGATCTGCCCATCTCGGCCTCCCAAAGTGCTGCTTGGATTACAGGTGTGAGCCACCGTGCCCGGCCTAAAATGGAACACTTTTAAACAAGAATATTCATGATGCACATTTCTCTGTATTTGGAGGGCTCATCTTTTAAAAACCAAGTTTTTGTGATAGGACTGAATTAGTGGAAGAGTTCTCAATGGTAGAACCATACCCAGCATAGGCAATCTAGAGCTTTGTTAAGAACTCAGGAGATTGTTTATGCTGTATGATACCTACATATTCACAACCTTGCCTCCCACTCCATTCCATAAAACTTACTGGAATCTGTTTACAAGCAGTCTTTACACAGATATGTGAATACTTTGTACTACAATAGCATAGACATACGGTATTTCAAATGAGAGTTCTCTCTAAAGGCTTGATTTGGAAGTCATAGTTATTTTTAATAAGGCCGGGCATGAAGGCTTACGCCTATAATCCCAGCACTTTTGGAGGCCGAAATGGAAGGATCACTTGAGGCCAGGAGTTCGAGACCAGCCTGGTCAACACAGTGAGACCACATCTCAATTTTTTTAAAAAAGTTGTTTAAAAAATAAGGTACAGTCACTCTAGCAATTTGAAAGGTATGAATCAACTATTTTATATTGCAGTTCTAGAATATGTTTGTCCTTCCCAGTGCAGTATAGTCACGAGTTTCAGTGGAATTGCTGAAGGAAAGGGGCAGCTGATTCATATTTCTGCATCACAAATCTATATAGAAAAGACAAGTTGAGATGGCTCTGAGAGTCCAGCATATCTTAATTTTAACTTTTATTATAAAGCTGAGATCTTACATTTTAATTGAAAAATGCTCTCATTTAAAATCAAAATATTTATCAATCTGTGGAAGCCTATTTTTACAGTGAAATTCTGTGATCACAAACAGGAAATTTAAGTATTGCATGCTGGTACAGAAATACATTGTTCTACAGTGGCGGCCCTTTGCTTTGTCATGGCTGTGTTTAACAGGACTTTCTGCCTCCTGAAATGTCAGCGTAGCCCTCAAACTCATGTCTATTCTACTTTTGATTACCTTGGTCCTCAGCCAGCCTCATATTTGACACTTTCAGCACGGGCAGTGTAGGTCCTTCTTGATGTTGAGCTGTTAATCTTTTTATTATTTCCTGTCACTTTTCACCATGATTGATGCTCTTGAGCCAGAGGAGGGAAAAGTGATGAAAATGACTTTGAAAACAGCTTTGAAAAGGAGTATTTTAAGTTGGACTTGGGTCTTACCTGAGACCATAAAGCGACTGAAAAAGCGCACGGTATGTTTTGTAAGGCACTACCTGGGCCCTTGCAGTGAGGGAGCAAGTGTGCTAATAACGAGTGCTTGGGACTAGGAGTGCTGAGGGCTCTCCTGGTGTTTGTGCAGCGATTCAGGTGGCTCAGGTCTCTGGGTCTGTGGTGTGAGGGATGCTGAGACCTTCCAGATGGTCTGTATTTAGCTCTGCGGAAAGGTTACAGAAAAGCGTCCTCCTTCCTTTAGACCTAAAAATAAGATTCTTTTTCAGTTTTAGGCATTACCAAGCCTCAGACATTTTTATCTTCTGCAGTATTCCCTCTACCCCACATCCGATTCATTAATTTTGGGTTTGGCTTTGGAAACTTCTCATCTCCTTGCCCCATAGCATGCAGGGTGACCCACTGGAGTGTGAGAAGAAAATATTATAACCTCTATTTGTATTTTTACTTTGTCCTTTCTAAAAAACTATTTTATTGTGGCGAAATATATATAACAACATTTGCCGTTGTAACCATGGTTTTTTTTGGTGGTGGTGGTTGTTGTTTTTGAGACGGAGTTTCGCTCTCGTTGCCCAGGCTGGAGTGCAGTGGCACAATCTCAGCTCACTGCAACCTCTGCCTCCCGGGTTCAAGCGATTCTTCTGCCTCAGCCTCCCAAGTAGCTGGGATTACAGGCACCCACCACCATGCCTGGCCAATCTTTTGTATTTTTAGTAGAGATGGGGTTTCACCATGTTGGCCAGACTGGTCTCGAACTCCAGACCTCAGGTGATCCACCCACCTCAGCCTTCCAAAGTGCTGAGATTACAGGTGTGAGCCACTGCGCCCAGCCCCATTTTTTGCATATATAATTCAGTGGCACTAATTCACGGTATTGTACAACTATCACCACTATTTCCAAAATTTGTCGTCACTGCAAATAGAAACCCCATACTCATTAAGCAGTAGCTCCCTATTCCCCCTTCCCCCAGTCCCTGGTAACCTCTGATCTTTCTTTTCTTTTTTAATTTTTTACATAAAAATGAGACAGGGTTTTGTCATGTTGGCCAGGCTGATCTCGAACTCCTGGCCTTCAGTGATCTACCCACCTCAGCCTCTCGAAGTGCTGGGATTACAGATGTGAGCCATCGTACCCAGCCTTCTGTGTTTAATTTCTTAGGATCCTCCATGCTGTTTTCCACAGTGGCTACACCATTTTACATTCTACCAGCAACGATTTAGGGTTCCAGTTTCTCTATACATTGACCAATACTAGTTACTGTTAAATATTTTCCATTTTAAAAAAAATTTAGCCATCCTATTGGATGTGAATCACATTGTGGTTTTGATTTTCATTTCCCTGATGGCTAATGATGTTGAGCATCTTTTCATGCACTTACTGGCCATTTGTATATCTTCTTTGGAGAAATGTCTGTTAAGTCCTTTGCATTGGGCTGGGCACAGTGGCTCACGCCTGTAATCCCAGCACTTTGGGAGGTTGAGGAGGGTGGATCACTTGAGGTCAGAGTTCAAGACCAGGCTGGCCAAGATGGCAAAACCCCCTCTCCACTAAAAATACAAAAATTAGCGGAGTGTGGTGGTGCGCACCTATAGTCACAGCTACTTGGGAAGCTGAGGCAGGAGAATCCCTTGAATGCGGGAGGCAGAGGTCGCCATGAGCTGAGAAAGTGCCACTGCACTCCAGCCTGGGCGACAGCCAGACTCCATCTCAAAAAAAGTCCTTTGCATTGTCCATTTTTGCAGGTTTTATAAGATATATATATATCAGCAGTGTATAATTGTATGCATTACATATAAATAATAAAAATTGGGATATGCTTCAGTATATGCAAATGTTTTGTTTGTTTGTTTTTGTTTGTTTTTTGAGACGGAGTCTCTCTCTGTCGCCCAGGCTGGAGTGCAGTGGCGTGACCTCGGCTCACTGCAAGCTCCGCCTCCCGGGTTGACGCCATTCTCCTGCCTCAGCCTCCCGAGTAGCTGGGACTACAGGCGCCCGCCCCGACGCCCGGCTAATTTTTTGTATTTTTAGTAGAGACGTGGTTTCACCGTGTTAGCCAGGATGGTCTCGATCTCCTGACCTCGTGATCCGCCCGCCTCGGCCTCCCAAAGTTCTGGGATTACAGCCATGAGTCACCGCGCCCAGCCGCAAATGTTTTTTAAAGATAGGAGGAATAATTTTAAAAAGTTAGGAGACCATTATAATGGACCATAACGATGATTTTTTTTTTTTTTTTTTTTTTTTTTTGAGGTGGAGTCTCGCTTTGTCGCCCAGGCTGGAGTGCAGTGGTGTGATCTCGGCTCACTGCAACCTCCGCCTCCCGGGTTCAAGTGATTCTTCTGCCTCAGCCTCCCAAGTAGCTGGGACTACAGGTGCGTGCCACCACGCCCGGCTAATTTTTGTATTTTTTAAATAGAGACGGGGTTTCACCATATTAGCCAGGCTGGTCTCCAACCTCTGACCTCGTGATCCACCCGCCTCGGCCTCCCAAAGTGCTGGGATGATAGGCATGAGCCACCGCGCCCAGCCGATCCATGTTTTCTTAGTGCCTAACATTAGCAAGAAACTATTGATAAGAATCCTTAAGCTTCATCAGGAGAATCTTATTTGGTTAAATATAACGTGTTTCTTGGAGCCACCATATGAAATTAACCCTAGGATCCCAAGGCTGTCTTTTATGATGTTTCCTTTTGGTACTTAAGAAAGTCAATCTCAGCTGGGCGCGGTAGCTCACGCCTGTAATCCCAGCACTTTGGGAGGCCGAGGCGGGCGGATCACGAGGTCAGGAGATTGAGACGATCCTGGCTAATACGGTGAAACCCTGCCTCTGCTAAAAAATACAGAAAAAAAATTAGCTGGGCGTGGTGGCACACGCCTGTAGTCCCAGCTACTCGGGAGGCTGAGGCAGGAGAATGGTGTGAACCTGGGAGGCGGAGCTTGCAGTGGGCTCAGATAGCGCCACTGCACTCCAGCCTGGGCGACAGAGCGAGACTCCATCTCAAAAAAAAATAAAAATAAAAATAAAGTGAATCTCCTTGGATGAGTTTTAACATAGACTTGCCATATGCTCAATCCCGTTTTATGGCTAATGGTGGCGTTCCAGGGTGCTAGTATATCTTATTAAGAGATAGAAACGGTTTTTCGTACCATGTTAAATACGAGAACCAGAAGGCACAGATTAGGGCCAGGCACGGTTTCTCACGCCTGTAATCCCAGCACTTTGGGAGGCCGAGGCGGGTGGATCACCTGAGGTCAGGAGTTTGAGACCAGCCTGGCCAACATGGTGAAACCCCGTCTCTACTAAAAATACAAAAATTAGCCGGGCATGATGGCGGGTGCCTGTAATTCCAGCTACTGCAGAGGCTGAGGCAGGAGAATCGCTTTAACCTGGGGAGGCAGAGGTTGCAATGAGCCGAAATTCCGCCATTGCACTCCAGCCTGGGCGACAAAAGCAAAACTCCGCCTCAAAAAAAAACAGAAACAAAAACAGAAGGCACAGATTAAATCTAAAGGAAGAGATTTGATTCTAAAATTATTATTATTATTTTTTTAAGACAAAGTCTCACTCTGTTGTCCGAGCTGGAGTGCAGTGGTGCCATCTTGGCTCACTGCAACCTCCACCTCCCGGGTTCAAGAGATTCTCCTGCCTCAGCCTCCCGAGTAGCTGGGACTACAGGCAGGCGCCACCATGCCTGGCTAATTTGTGTATTTTTAGTAGAGACGGGGTTTCACTATGTTGGCCAGGCTGGTCTTGAGCTCCTGACCTCGTGATCCGCCCATGTCGGCCTCCCAAAGTGTTGGGATTACGGGCGTGAGCCACCATGCCTGGCCTCTAAAATTATTATTATTAGAATATCATTTATAAAACTAATTTGATTATATAAAGAATTTAGCTGTGAAGGAATGGAACCAGCTTACCTAATGACCCAGTAAGAGCATTTTAGGCCTTTGGGGTTTAATTTTAATTTTTTTTTTTTTTTTTTTTTTTTTTTGAGTCAGGGTCTCACTCTGTCACCCAGGCTGGAGTGCAGTGGCTCGAACATGACTCTGCAGCCTCCACCTTCTGGATTTATGCAATCCTCCCACCTCAGCCTCCCAATTAGCTGGGACTACAGGCACGTGCCACCATGCCCTGGCTATTTTTTTTTTTTTTTTAATTTTTTGTACAGACAGGTCTTGCCATGTTGCCCAGGCTGATCTCGAGCTCCTGAGTTCAAGCAGCCCTCCTGCCTGGGCCTCCCAGAGTGCTGGGATTACAGTGCCTGGCTGGGGGTTGAATTTTTTTTTTTTTTTTTTGAGATGGAGTTTTGCTCTTGTTGCCCAGGCTGGAGTGCAGTGGCGCGATCTCAGCTCACTGCAACATCGGCCTCCCGGGTTCAAGCGATTCTCCTGCCTCAGCTTCCCCAGTAGCTGGGATCATAGGCATGTGCCACCATGCCCAGTTTATTTTTTGTATTTTTAGTAGAGACAAAGTTTCAACGTGTTAGCCAGGATGGTTTTGATCTCCCGACCTCCCAGAGTTGTGGGATTATAGGCGTGAGCCACCATGGCTGGCCCAGGTGGTTGAATTTTTAACAGCTTGATTTTCCCATTGTTGTCCTAGTCTCTGAAAGTAAACTTGGTGAAGTTGCCCTAAAATGCTAGCTTCTATCAAGGGTGTGACATCACTATCCTGGTACATCCTGGTGTGTTTCTTGGAAAGTGTACACACTGACAGGCATTTTCCAAATAAAACATTTGTTTCAGTAAACAAGTGTTTTATCCAGCAGCCCAAGTGGAGAATTTTAAAACCAGTGTTTGTTTTGCCAGCAAACATTTTGTTTCAATCCTTGCAGCTAAACAAGTGGGTAAGATTTAAGTGGCCTCCTAGTAAAAACAAATGTAAAACCATTTTCAGAAAACTCAGGGCTGAGCAGAAATCTATTTGCTGTTAGAGGGTGAGTGTAGACCTTCAGGGATATAATTTATACTTTCTGTATAGTTCTGTGCTTAGCTGCAGTCAGAGTGAAAAGTCTTAGGTTTGGGGAAGAGAACTTTATTTTTTTTGAGGCAAGAAGGGAAGAAATAGAAAAGAATTATTCAATAAAATGTATTGGCTAAGTGTGGTGGCTTACACTCATAATCCCAGCACTTTGGGAGGCTGAGGCAGGAGGATCACTTGAGCCCAGGAGTTTGAGACCAGCCTGGGCAACATAAGGAGACCTCATCTCTATAAATAAAAAATAAAAATAAAAACAAGGTATCATCATATTGCCGTATTTAAATTTTATAGCCTACCTTTAAAATATAACTAAAACATCATCAGGTATTTGCTCTGCTGTGAATTTCCTACCTCTTTTCTAATTATTTTGTGATAATTCCTCCAATACATAATACAACTCAATGTCCATGCTAATTTTCAGGCTTCATCTTCTAACAAAATTTGACCAAAAATCAAATTTTGGTCAGCTGTTGTTGCTTTTATTTAGGGTTTCTTGTCATTGAACATTCTTGCTGTCTTGAATAAAATTTCATTGCGACATATTTCTCTTTTCTTTTTCTTTTTTTTGAGACAGGGTCTCGCTCTATCACCCAGGCTAGAGTGCAGTGGTGTGATCATGGCTCACTGCAGCCTCTGCCTCCCAGGCTCAAGTGATCCTCCCACCTCAGCCTCTCAAGTAGCTGGGACCACAGGCATACGCCACCATGCCCAGTTAATTTTTATATTTTTTATAAAGACAAAGTTTTGCCATGTTTCCTAGGCTGGTCTCGAACTTCTGGGCTCAAGCAATCCACCAGCCTCAGCTTCCAAAAGTGCTGGGATTACAGATGTGAACCACCATGCCCAGCCTCTTTTTCTTTTTCTTGTTATTTATTTTTAATTTTTTTTTTTTTTTTTTTTTGAGGCAGTCTTGCTCTTGTCACCCAGGCTGGAGTGCAATGGTGCGATCTCGGCTCGCTGCATCTTCCGCCCCCCAGATTCAAGCGATTCTCCTGCCTCAGCCTGCTGAGTAGCTGGGATTACAAGTGCCTGCCACCATGCCCGGCTAATTTTTTGTATTTTTGGTAGAGATGGGGTTTCAGCATATTGGCTAGGCTGGTCTGGAACTCCTGACCTCAGGTGATCCTCCCTGCTTGGCCTCCCAAAACTCTGGGATTATTACAAGTGTGAGCCACTGCGCCTGACGTACATCATCTAGTTTCGCAATTTTGAACATCATATAAATTAGAACAGTATATATTACTTTTTATATGTTTGCTTTTGTCGACATTATGATTGAGAGTCTGGCCCATGTTGATGCTAATAGCTATCATTTGTTCATCTTCATTGTTTAGTATTCCTGTGTACTACAACAATGCATTTATCTGTTTTACTGTCAATGGACATTGAACTGTTTCTAACTTTTGACTCTTATGAAAATGGCTGTGAAGGACATTGTTGTACGCATCTCCTGGTACAGTTACACAAAAGTTTTTCTAGGGTATAGGTGGAAGGTGGATTGTTGGATTGTCAGATATTTGTATTTTTAGCTTTGTGCTGTAACTCGAAACTGTTTTCCAAAGAGGTGGTTCTAGTTTGTACTCCCTCTAACAGTGAATAAGAGGCTGGGTTTTTTTGTTGTTTCTTTTTTTTAGATGGAGTTTCACTCGGTCATCCAGATTGGAGTGCAGTGGCGCAATCTCGGCTCACTGCAACCTCTGCCTCCCGGGTTCAAGCGATTCTCCTGCCTCAGCCTCCCGAGTAGCTGGGACTACAGGCACGCACCACCATGCCCGGCTAATTTTTGTATTTTTAGTAGAGGCAGGGTTTTACCATGTTGGTTAGGCTGGTCTTGAACTCCTGACCTCAGGTGTTTCACCCGCCTCGGCCTCCCAAAGTGTTGGGATTAAAGGCATGAGCCACCCTGCCTGGCTGAGGTTGGGTTTTTAAAAAGGGTTTTTTTCTTTTCAGCTTTATTGAAGTATAATTGACAAAATGTTAATATATATTTAAAATGTACAACAGGGGCTGGGCGCGGTGGCTCATGCTTGTAATCCCAGCACTTTGGGAGGCCAAGGCGGGCGGATCGCTTGAGCTCAGGAGTTCGAGACCAGTCTGGGCAACATGATGAAACCCTATCTCTACCAAAAGTACAAAAACTAGCCAGGCGTGGTGGCACATGCCTGTGGTCCCAGCTACTCGGGAGGCTGAGGTGGGAGGATAGCTTGAGCCTGGGAGGCAGAGGTTGCAGTGAGCAGAGATTGTGTCATTGCACTCCAGCCTGGGTGACAGAGTGAGACCCCATCTCAAAAATAAGTAAATAAAATAAAATATACAAAGGATGATTTTATATATGTATACATTGTGAAATGATTACCGAAATCAATTTAACACGTCTGTCACTTTACATAATTATCTTTAAAAAAAAATTTTCTTTTGGCTGTGTGGGGTGACTCATGCCTTTAATCCTAGCACTTTAGAAGGCTGAAGTGGGAGGATTGCTTGAGGCCAGGAGTTTAAAACTAGCCTAGGCAACATAACAAGACCCCATCTCTACAAAAAATTTTTAAAGATATTAGCTGGGCATGGTGGTTCTTGCCTGTAGTACTAGCTAGTTGAGAGGCTAAAGTGGGAAGATCTCTTGAGTCCAAGCGTTCAAGGTTGCAGTGAGCTATGATTGCACCAATGCACTCCAGCCTGGACAATAAAGAAACTCTGTCTCTTAAATGAAAAAAATAGAATGAGCATTTTTATTATTCCTAATTTTCACCAAAACTCGGTAGTGTTAGATTTTTATATTTTTGCCAAAATGGTGACTATGAAATGGTATCTTGTTGTGGTTTTAATTTGCTTTTCCCTGATTACTAATAGGTTTGTTGGCCATCTGTATACTTTTTTTTTTGAGTGTTTATTCAAACTTTTTGCCCATTTTTCTGTGGATTGTCTCTTTTTATAAAGCTAATTTGTTACTGATTTGTAGGACTCCTTAATATATTCTGGTATGAATCTTTTTTTCTTTTTATTTTTCAGTGCCCAGCATCCGAAGATATAGTATGACTCTTTTTGTCGAGAATATGTGTTGCAAATATCTTCTCCGACTTTGTGATTTGTCTTTTTACTTTTTACTGATAAATTCAACAATATTAAAATTAAGAATGTGTATGCATTCAAAGGCATACACATTTTTTTTTTTTTTTTTTTTTTTCTGAGACAGAGTCTGGCTCTGTCACCCAGGCTGGAGTGCAGTGGCACGATCTCAGCTCACTGCAAGCTCCACCTCCGGGGTTCAAGAGATTCTCCTGCCTCAGCCTCCCAAGTAGCTGGGACTACAGGCGTGCGCCACGACACCTGCCAATTTTTGTATTTTTAGTACAGGCGGGGTTTCACCATGTTGGCCAGGCTGGTCTCGAACTCCTGACTTCAAGTGATCCACCCATCTCGGCCTCCCAAAGTGCTGGGATTACAGGCATGAGCCACTGCGCCCGGCCAGCATACATTCTTAAGTTTAATATTGTTGAATTTATCAGTCTTTTTCTTTATGGTTAATGCTTTTATATTTTAAGAAATTCTTCCCTATTTATGAAGTTATTCTCCTGTATTCTTCATAGTTTTTTGAAGATATTCTCCTCTATTCTTTATAGTTTTTTTCCCCTTTCACATTTTCTTATATGGTATTTCACTCATCTGAAACTGATTTTTATGAATGTTGGAAGGTAGAGGTCCATTTCAGTTTTCATTTAAATAGATATGTGTTTGTCCAGGCACTGTTTATTGCAGCTTCCATCTTTCCCACACACTCTGGAATGCCACCTGTGTCATGCATGTGTGCTCCGTCTGTTTCTGTGCTCTCTATGTGCTGTCCGTCTCTTTGTCAACCTTAGATCCAGCTCTACATTGTCTTAGTTATGACAGCCTTTAAGGAGTCATGCCATCTGGGAGGGCATGTGCTTCCACCTTGTTCTTCTTCAATGATGTCTTGGTGTTCTTGGCCTCTTGTGCTTCTATGTAAATTTTAGAAACAGTTCCAATTCTGTTACAGAATCTTTTGGAGTTATTAGGACTGCACTGAACCTGTAGACCAATGTGGGGAGAACCAGCACGTTTACAATAGAGTGTACCACATTGAAAGGCAGTGTGCAGAATCGCTAAAAGGATGGAGGCAGACCTCCTGGGTGCAGATCCTAGCTCCGCTCCTCACTGGCCATGTGACCCTGGAGAATTTGACCTTAGAGTGTCTCAGTTATCTCACTTGTGTAATAGGGATCGTAGTAGTACCTACCTTATAGGGTCATAATAGTACCTACTGTATAGGGTAATTGAGAGGATTAGGTGATTACATGTCTTGCATATAATATGTGCAAAGTGCTCAGAATAGTCTCAGGCACATAGTAAAATTATATAAGTGCATGAACACCAATTATGTATATCTTCTTCAATGCCCCAAGAACGTTGTGGTTTTCTTTATAAAACTTGACCTGTAGAATATACAATCCAGTCATGTGTCACTTAACGAAGGGGAGGCATCCTGAGGAATGCATCATTAGGTGATTTTGTCATTGTGTGAACATCAGAGTGTACTTACACAAACCTAGATGGTATAGCCCACTACACACCTAGGCTATATGGTATGTAGCTTATGGCTCCAAGGCTACAAACCTGTACAGCATGTTATTGTACAGAATACTGTAGGCAACTGTAACACAACAGAAATTATTTGTGTCTCTAAACATATGTAAACATAGAAAAGGTACAGTGAAAATATGGTGTTATAAGGAATGTGTATATACTATCCCTCATGGGACCCCTGTCATATATGCAGTCCATTGTTGACTGAAATGCTGCAACTGTGTGTATTCCTACATCTCCCTACATACGTAGAATATATTATATTACATATGTATTAGTGTATAGTAAATATTCCTACATATCATATAATATATAGGAATATATATAACTTTTAAAATATATTAAAATACCTTAAAACTTTTGATGCTCTTATAAGTGGTATTTTTAAGTGTTTCTGTGTACAGTGTTGTGTTTAGTTAGTATGTTTTAAGAGCTGATTATGACCATCTTTGATAAATACTTAAATACTTGTGTTGCATGAGGTACTGCTTGGAGGCTGGGCACAGTGGCTCATGCTTGTAATCCCAGGACTTTGGGAGGCCGAGGTGGGCAGAACACTTGAGGTCAGGAGTTCGAGACCAGCCTGGCCAATGTGGTGAAACCCCCATCTCTACTAAAAATACAAAAACGAGCCGGGCGTGGTGGTGGACACCTGTAATCCCAGCTACTAAGGAGGCTGAGGCACGAGAATTGCTTGAAGGCAGGAGGTGGAGGTTAAAGTGAGCCGAGATTGTGCCATTGCAATCCAGCCTGGGCGACAAGAGCCAAACTCCGTCTCAAAAAAAAACAAAACAAAACAAAACAAAAAGAGAGAGAGAGAGATACTGCCTGGGACCAGAAATATGGACACTTTTATCTGGCTGATGGCCCATCACGATTACTGCTCTGTTCTCACAGGGTTGAACATTTTACTCACTTTACATGATTTTAAACCACTGTATCCCATTGACTTCTGTTGTTGAAACAGAGGATTTTGGCAGCCTGGTTCATTTTCTCTTGTATATCAGGTTCTTTGGGTTCACTATTTTCTTTTTAATAAGATCATGATATTTCAGTGTTTACCTATAGCTCACCCACCATTTAGGTTTTATTTCCAGTGCTCTCATGCTTCCCTAAATCCTGTACGAAAGATGCTATGTCAGGAGGCACGGTGACTCAGGCCTGTTGTCCTGGCACATAAGAAGGCGAGGTCAGGTGTTTGAGACTAGACTGAGCAACATAGGAAGCTCTCATCTATTAAAAAAACAACAAAAAAACCAAAAACAAAAAAACATGCTATGTCCTTGGCTATTCGAGCCACAGCTTTGTGCATTGACACACATCCAGCATCAGCAAGCTTTTTCTAAATGAGAACAAGCGTCATTCCTTTGTCCATTTGTCAGACTTGTCACATATGTCTCTATGGGATTATAGTTTTTTTAAAAAAAGAAAAGAAAGTAAAGGGGGAAATATCTGTAGGTTCCCCTTGCCTGTGTGTTCCTCTGCTTTCAGCTCTTCAGCACAGGCAGTCTCGGTCACGTGGCCCTGCTCACGCAGGGCCCAGACCCACGCTGCGAAGCTCTGTATGATTGTGTTTTGGGTTGCAGGAGGCAGAAACTCAAAGTGAAACCAATGAAAAAAACCAATGTGTTCTTAATGGTTTTTACCTAAACCATAAATCCCTCTCTTCGAGGGAGAGGGGAATCACCCAAGATTTGGCCCAGTTCCCTCATTAAGTTCCAGGGCTATATTTGTCTGTATTTTTTCTTTTCTTTTCTTTTTTTTTTTTTTTTTTTGTTCATATGTGTGTCAGTTTGGTGACGACCTGTGTCCAACTCACTCAAGGAAGATATTTAAAATGCAGATTCCAGGGCCTGATCTAGACTAAGGGAATAAGACAGTGGGAAGAGGAGGAGGTAGAGAGTTGAGTCTCCTGACTCCCTGGTGGTGCTGACAGTCAAACAGGACTTACTAACAATGATGAAGGTATTATGGGCTCAGATTTTTATCCATCACTACATTATCACTAAATTTTTTTTTTTTTTTGAGACCAAGTCTCACTCTGTTGCCCAGGCTGGAGTGCAGTGGTGTGATCTTGGCTCACTGCAACATCCGCCTCCTGGGCTCAAGCGATTCTCCTGCTTCAGCCTCCCGAGTAGCTGGGACTACAGGCGCACACCACCATGCCCAGCTAATATTTGTATTTTTAGTAGAGACGAGGTTTCACCATGTTGGCCAGGATGGTCTCGATCTCTTGACCTCGTGATCTGCCCACCTCAGCCTCCAAAGTGCCAGGATTACAGGTGAGAGCCACCGTGCCAGGCTTAATTTTTATATTTTTAGTGGACACAGGGTTTCACCATGTTGGCCAGCCTGGCCTCGAACTCCTGACCTCAGGTCATCCACCTGCCTCAGCCTCCCAAAGTGCTGGGATTACAGGCATAAGCCACTGCGCCTGGCCTAATGGAACATTTTTTACCAGGTTTAAAATAAGATATCTAATGCCAGATGCTGTGGCGCACACCTTTAGTCCCAGCTGCTTGGGAGGCTGAGGCAGGAGGTTTGCTTGAGCCCAGGAGTTTGAGACCTGCCTGGGCAACATAGTGAAACCGCATGTCTATATGAATAAAATAAATAAATAAATAAATAAATAAATAAATAAAATAAATGAAATAAGATAGCTAACACTTATTAAGTGCCATGTGTCAGGCAGGCACTTCACATTTAAACCTATGTGTAGGCTACTATTGTTAGTCCCACTTTATAGAAAAGGAAACTGAGGCACATAGAGTTTAAATGCTTTGCCCTGAGTCAAACACCTGAGGCAGAATTGTCATGTTCTTTGACAATCTTCAAAGCAAATTCACGATATTTGTTAATTACAAAATAACGGAGTCTCTGGCACAAATGGGCCCAAAGAGTCTGCTTGGATCATAATCATGCCTTGGTGCTATATTAGGTCCCTTATAAATTATTCATTCTTTTAGCAAGTTCTTACTGAGCATTTAGAGTCCCCGTGGCTTGGGACAGGTATTCCACAAAAGGGAGGGATGTACAGGAAGTTATACAGACAAACTAGAAACTTCTTAGCAGATGCCTGTGCATAAATGAGAGGACTTGGATTAGGGCTGGGGGGAGCGGTGCTGACAGAATTACTGTCCAGAGAGCTGTTATCTTGTTATCTGTTATCTTGGCTGTGTGCTAAATGTTTTAGGTGTATTTTTTTCATTAATTTCTCACAAGAACCCCACTGGGTTAAATTCTATGAATAATCTATTGAACAGGAAACTGAGGCTTAGAGATGTGAAGAGACTTGCCTGTGGTCATATGGCTTCGGCCTCATGGTTGTGATATGAAGGCAATGCGTATCTCTCTCTGGACCCTGGCTTTCATCCGCTGGATTTTCTGCTTTCGTCAAATAGGATTTTGTTTTCTAGAAGAGAACTGCCATCCCTCTGATAGTGACCCAGATGGCCCCATCACTAGGATCACTCTGGGCTTTAAAGAGATCATGGCTTATGATGTCAGTCATCGTTGGCTTGGCCTCTCTATTTTGTCCTCTGGTTCTGGTGTCCTCACCTGGCCCCTAGGGAATCCTTCAGAAATATTAGTATCAAGGCCATGTCCATGGCCTATAACCAGATTGGCAGATGTCTGTAGGCTGGAGGAAGCCAAGAACTGTTTTTGAAGGAGCATCATGGCTTTGTCCATCCACACTTACTGCTGTGCAGAGGTGAGGGGCCTTCTGTCCCTACTCAGGCTTCTTCATTTTCACTAGAGGATGTTCAATGTTTTGTATTGTTCCCTATGCAGATGGGTATTCAATATAATTTTTTTTTTGAGATGGAGTCTCACTCTGTTGCCCAGGCTGGAGTGCAGTGGCGCGTTTTCGGCTCACTGCAAGCTCCACCTCCCAGGTTCACGCCATTCTCCTGCCTCAGCCTCCCCAGCAGCTGGGACTACAGGTGCCCGCTGCCACACCCAGCTAATTTTTTGTATTTTCAGTAGAGACGGGGTTTCATCGTTATAGCCAGGATGGTCTCAATCTCCTGACCTCGTGATCCACTCGCCTCAGCCTCCCAAAGTGCTAGGATTACAGGCGTGAGCCACCGCATCTGGTCTCAATATAATTGTTTTTGAGCCACTTCAGAAGGGTAAAATGGAAGAAACCTTAGAAATTTGATGTCTCCATTTTACTGAAAAAGGAAGGAAAAACCTACATATTAAGTTACTTATTCAAGGTAACAACTAATTAGTGGCAAGACTGGAATCCAGTTCCTGACGCTCAGTTCAATATCTTCCTTTTACCCCTTTAATCTGATTTTACGCGAGGACTGCCCTAATGAGTCTGAATCTTGTCATGAATAAGCTGTAAGAAATTCAACTTCAAAATGATTCCTGTGGTGGGGCTTTGTTTTCAGAGGCAGGTTTACCTTCCTAATTATGAATTATTGAGGTTAATGATAAAGTGACTTTACATTTCTAAATAAATAGCGGCAGGTGATGGCAGAGGATCTCCTAAAATAGTATCAGGTCAGCTGGAAACTTTAATATTCAGCAAAGTAGAAAACCTACTTGTTGATATTACATTTGCTTATACGTGTTTTTAATGAGAAAGAAGAAAATCTAACAAAAAGATAAGAAGAGATGAGGTACATGTTGTTGTTACCATAATTATTGCATTTTGATCTATTCTCGGCCTGCTTCCTTACTGTGGAGGCCTCAAACACACAAGCATGGGTTGTCACTTATGTCATCCCTGTGACCCAGTGTCCTTGGAGAATGGGCATATGAGAGGTGCAAACTTAATAAAGAATCCATTCATTAGATGTACTTCATTCATAAAAATAATCCCACCATTACAGATTAGTTAAGACAGTAACATCAGGACCATGCCTGTAACTCGTTATAGTTGGCCTTAGGATTCAACCAGCCGAGGATCCAAAATATTCTAAAACAGAGCTGGGCGTGGTGGCATGTGCCTGTAATCCCAGCTACTTGGGAGGCTGAGGTGACTAGGAGTTCAAGACTAGCCTGGGCAACATAGTGAGACCCTGTCTCTAAAAAAATAAATAAATAAATAATGTAAAAAATTTATTGGAAAAATAAAAACAACAAAAATAATACAAATAAAAAGCAATACAGTACAACAACTATTTACACAGAATTTACATTGCATTAGGTGTTAGAAGTAATGTAGAGGTGATTTTAAGTATATGAGAAGGCTGGGCACAGTGGCTCATGCCTGTAATCCCAGCATTTTGGGCGGCTAAGGCAGGCGGGTCACTTGAGCTCAGGAGTTCAAGACCAACCTGGGCAACATAGTGAGACTCTGCCTCTAC
Organism: Homo sapiens; assembly: GCF_000001405.40. Lineage (NCBI taxonomy): Eukaryota > Metazoa > Chordata > Mammalia > Primates > Hominidae > Homo > Homo sapiens. The sequence continues at coordinate 7,077,734 of NC_000006.12, forward strand.
CAAAAAAAAAAAAAAAAAATACACGTGAACAAACTGAGACTGGAAAAAAAAGTTAAAAGTAAAAAGTATATGAGAGATTGTGCATAGGTTATTTGCACATACTATGCCATTTGACATCAGGGACTTCAACACCTGTGGATTTTGATATCTGCGGGGGTCCTGGAACCAGTCTGCTGGGGCTGCCAAGGAACAACGTGTACCTTGTTATTCTGCTCTACCTACATCCTTTATTTTGTCACATTGGCATTGAATTGAGATACATCAGAAGAACCTTGTGGCCTTTTTCTTTTCCCATTTTATAGCAGTGTAATATTCACCCAGAAAAGTGCAGATCATAAACATACACTTCCTTGAACTTTCACACAATGAACACACTTCCATGAGCTTTCAAGTGCCAAAGACCTGATTTCTAAATTCTGCCTTTACCATCTGTGTAACTTTAGGAAAATTAACCTTTTGGGGCCTCCATTTTCTCACCTATCAAATGGGGAAGAAATAATAGCCTTTCATAGGTGTTTGTAAGGAGTGAAAGATAATACATCTCATTTACCTGGCATTTTTCTTCCTTTCCTCTGATTGCAAGAGAGCTTTTGAAAAGAGACACCCTCTGCCGGGCACAGTAGCTCACGCCTGTAATCCCAGCACTTTGGGAGGCCGAGACGGGTGGATCACGAGGTCAGGAGATCGAGACCATCCTGGCTAACACGGTGAAACCCCATCTCTACTAAAAATACAGACAAAATTAGCTGGGCGTGGTGGCGGGCGCCTGTAGTCCCAGCTACTCGGGAGGCTGAGGCGGGAGAATGGCGTCAACCCGGGAGGCAGAGCTTGCAGTGAGTCGAGATCGCACCACTGCACTCCAGCCTGGGCAACAGAGTGAGACTCCGTCTCAAAAAAAAAAAAAGAAAGAAAAGAAAAGAGACCCCTTCAAAGTGCATTAGATGTGTGGTAGTTGAATGTTTGTAATGTTAAGTAACAGCTCATTTGTGTGTGGAAATGTAGTTAATAATATGGACTATGGAAAATAAATGACTAAAAGTTTTCCTACTTCCTACTTTGCTACAACTGATTTTTGACCATTTATCTCAGGGACTCATCTGAGAACGACGATTAAAGTAGTAAATTAGTCTGGGAGTGGTGGCTCATGCCTGTAATCCCAGCACTTTGGGAAGCTGAGACGGGAGGATCACTTTAGCCCAGGAGTTTGAGATCAGCCTGAGCAACACAGTGAGAGTCACTGTATCAAAAAATGAGTGAATGAATGGGAGAAAGAAGGAAGGAAGGAAGGAAGGAGAAAGAAGGAAAGGAGGAAGAGAAAGAGGAAGGAAGGAGAGAGAGGGAGGGAGGGAGAGAAAGAGAGTGAAAGAGGGAGGGAGGGAAAGAAAGGGAAGGAAGTGAGGGAGGGAGGGAGCGGAGGGAGGGAGATTAAAACTATAAGTGGTAGATTAAAGATTCATTCCGGCCGGGCGTGGTGCCTCACGCCTGTAATCCCATCACTTTGGGAGGCTGAGACAGGCAGATCGCCTGAGGTCAGGAGTTTGAGACCAGCCTGGCCAACGTTGTGGAACCCCGTCTCTACTGAAAACACAAAAATTAGCTGGGCGTGGTGGTGGGTGCCTATAATTCCAGCTACTTGGGAGGCTGAAGCAGGAGAATCGCTTGAACCTGAGAGGCGGAGGTTACAGTGAGCCAAGATCGCGCCATTGCACTCCAGCCTGGGCCACAGAGTGAGACTCCATCTCAAAATAAATAAATAAATAATAAAGATACATTCTACTTATTCATACATACCCTGCCTCATCCCAAAAAGGGATTGTAGAAATACACATAGTGAGTACAATAGTATTTATTTCTCCATGGGGAAAAATATTATAGAAATAAAAATATGTTAAACTTACAAAGACTCTAATGAGTCTATTTTAACCTCAGCCAGTCTGTTTTAAATAGTGTCATGAATTTCTGGGGCCTGATTCTAGTTTTTTCAGATTTTGTTTATTTGCTAAAAGTTTCTTTCATTATACCCACAGTTTTTTCGTGTTGTTCCTATTACTATTATTATTTTTGAAATAGTCTTGCTCTGCCGCCCAGGCTAGAGTGCAGTGGCGCAAATTGGCTCACTGCAACCTCCGCCTCCTGGGTTCAAGTGATTCTTGTGCCTCAGCCTCCTGAGTAGCTAGGATTACAGGCGTCCACCACCATGGTAATTTTTGTATTTTTAGTAGAGACAGGGTTTCTCCATGTTGGCCAGGCTGGTCCCAAACTCCTGACCTCACGTGATCCATTCACCTTGGCCTCCCAAAGTGCTGGGATTACAGGTGTTAGCCACCATGTCCGGCCTCATATTATTTTTAATTGACACAGAATAATTATACATATTTATGATGTTCAGTGTGATATTTCCATTCATGTGTACAATATGCAATGGTCAAATTATGGTAATTAGCATATCCATCACCTCTAACGTTTATCATTTCTTTGTGTTGGAAGCATTCAAAATCTGCTCTTCTAGCTATTTGAAAATATACAATAAATTGTTGTTATAGTGCTGTCGAACTATATAATTGAACTATATATAACTGTTGTTATAGTGCTGTAGAACACCGGAACTTACTCCTCCTATCCAGCTAGTACAACAGTATTTAAAATAAATAAGTGGGTGAACTGAGGCTAAACCTTGAGATAAGGTTGATGCACAAACTGTATATCCTGAGATCCAGATCATCTACTAGACATGGTCTGCAGAGTTGGCTTTCAGCTTCCTAAGAGCACTCAAAGCAAGAAGGGGAAGTGATTAATGATACAATTTGGAAGGTCCTTATAATGTGAAAACAAACTGGTAGTGCAGGAGAAACTCGGTTTTTTTCTTGGCCCCCAGACCTTCCTTCCATGGGTCTTCACAAAGAGAATTTAATGTGAACTAGCAGGATTCCCTGTAATAAATAAGAGTATCTGATTTATCATACTGTGCCTCTGTGTAGACAGGTGACACAAAGCCAGTGCTTCATTTAATAAAAACAGTTTGATAAATGACCATAAAATAGATTAAATTATATTCTCTAATATTACAATGGTGCTATGAAAATTAACAGAGACTGGGCTGGGCGTGGTGGCTCACACCTGTAATCCCAGCACTTTGGGAGGCCGAGGTGGGCAGATCACCTGAGGTCAGGAGTTGGACCAGCCTGGCTAACCTGGCGAAACCCCGTCTCTACTAAAAATACAAAATTAGCCGGGCATGGTGGCGGCCACCTGTAATCACAGCTACTCGGGAGACTGAGGCAGGAGAATTGCTGGAACCCGGGAGGCAGAGGTTGCAGTGAGCCGAGACGTGCCATTGCACTCCAGCCTGGGTGACAGAGTGGGACTCCATCTCAAAAAAAAAAAGAAAAAGAAAAAGAAAAAAAAAGAAAGAAAATCAACACAGACTGGGTTACATGCAACCTGTGATAAATTCATTTATGAAATTTTAAACCTACCAAGCAGTGTCATGGTAAATGGAAATTCTATGTGTAGGCCAGATGGAGAAAGAAGCACTTTCTATGACTGTTCTAAGGAAGACCCCAGGGAGGAAGTATGGTCTTTAGGAAGCACTTAGGAAACAGAGCTTAGCACTTTGGGAGGCCAAGGCAGGAGAATCGCTTGAGCCCAGGAGTTTGAGGCTGCAGTGAGTCTAATAAAAAAAAATTACACATAATAAAACAATTAGCCAAACATGGTGGCACATGCCTGTAGTCCCAGCTGCCCAGGAGGCTGAGGTAGGAGGATCGCTTAAGCCCAGGTGGTTGAGGCTGCAGTGAGCCATGATTGCACCATTGCACTCTAGCCTGGGCAACAGAATATCTCAACAAGAAATAAATAATCTTATCTTTTTTTTAAATAACAAGTTTGGGGAGTTAGGAGAAATTTAAAGTAAAAAAATGAAAAAATAAAGGCCGGGCGCGTGGCTTATGCCTGTAATCCCAGCACTTTGGGAGGCCGAGGTGGGCGGATCACTTGAGGTCAGGAGTTCAAGACTAGCCTGGCCAACATGGCAAAACCCCGTCTCTAATAAAAATATATAAATTAGCTGGGTGTGGTTGTTGGCACCGGTAATCCCAGCTACTCAGGAGGCTGAGGCAGGAGAATCACTTGAACCCGGGTGGCAGAGGTTGCAGTGAGCCGAGATCGCACCAATTCACTCCAGCCTCAGCGACAGAGCAAAACTCCGTCTCAAAAAAAAAAAAAAAAAAAAAAAAAAAAAAAAAGCTGTTTGGGGCTGTCAGTAATTTTAAGTGTGTAAAGGGAGTCCTGAGACCAAAAAGTTTGAGAAGCCCTGTGTTAGGCATATGTATACCGTAGACTGTGTTGGTACCGTGCACTAATTATGCTACACAAAGCAGCTGTGGTTCCTAAGATCAAAGACATACTACCATCACCCACTGGATACACACCTACAAATAAATATCCACAATTATTCCAAAGAGTATTGACACTTCTGTTTATTAATGTGTTTATACAACAGATATTTATTTAGCACTGAGATTAGGGCTGTTTGATAAAACAGAAAAGGCCTCTGCCCTTGTGGAGCTTGTTTCTAATAAAAGTGCATCACAAAATCCGAAAAGATGAATAGATACAGTTGGTATTTGTGACTCTGGAATTGGTAGAAAGAGAACCTCTGAGGGAATGAATCCTGTTCTTTACCATGGGCCAGGCACTGTGCTGAGTGCATGTGTGCATTATTTAATTTATATAATAATCCTGTCTAGTACACAAGGTCGTATATCTTTATAGGTGAACAAATGAAAACCCACAGAAGTTAGATAATTTGTCTGGGTTGCCAGCTAATAAGAGATAGAACCAGGATTTGTGCATTTTTATAACACCCTTGTTCTAGGTAGCCTTTCTATTTTAAGGAAGCAAATTTCTCGTTTAACTCTCCACCATCCATTTTGAGACAGGGACTGGCCTTGCCATACTTACCTATTGCAAGGTAGCTTTTGGACCATGTTCTTGCAAAGGTGTAGAAACTTTCACATCCAGGTTGGGACTCTTTCATTGCAAAAGCAGCCAGGGGCATCTACAAATGTGTTGTGCATGCTGAATGCACAAATAGTGTGGTTGGGAACGACAAAGAACCCAGTTAACTGGGAAAGCCCACCTCCAGGGATGCTGACATGATACTGAATGCCAAGAAAGTATCCATGGCAAGGTCTATATTCTTCCACCATCTTTGTGCCACAGCCAGTTAAGATTTCAGATTTTTTTCTTTCATTGCCAGGGCAGACAATTGTAAATTATCTCCTAGAGGAGACCTCTCGACCTGTAAAACGTTTTAATTTGGACCTTTACAGGGATGGTGGGTTCAATCTAGGAGAACCTTTGGATTCAAAGCCAGCCAGTCTCCACTGCTTGGGGTTTTGTGGCACCTGCCATGGCAGGTATTTCTGTTCCCATAGGAGCCTCCTCTGACTTGTCTGGGCACCACCTCCCCTCCTCTCCCCACCCTCCCACATAACTTTCTCCATCAACCGCCAGAAAGACGTTGTGACTTATGGCCGTGCTTAGTGGTGACAGCTTTGTGTATTAACCCCCATCAAAAAACAGTACAATCCTGGAATCTTTCAGAAGTTTGAGGAACTGGAAATAAGTCTTTCTTTCTTTTTTTTTTTTTTTTTTTAGACAGTCTTGCTCTGTCGCCAGGCTAGAGTGCAGTGACATGATCTCTGCTCACTGCAACCTCCGCCTCCCGGGTTCAAGCGATTCTCCTGCCTCAGCCTCCCAAGTAGCTGGGATTACAGGTACCCAACACCACACCTGGCTAATTTTTTGTATTTTTAGTAGAGGCAAGGTTTTGCCATGTTGCCCAGGCTGGTTTCTAACTCCCGAGCTCAGATAATCTGCCCACCTCGGCCTCCCAAAGTGCTGGGATTACAGGCATGAGCCACCGCACCTGGCCAGAAATAAGTCTTTCTAAGTGGAGAGCACACACGTACACACTCACAAATAATCTTCATTTTAGGATGGAATTTGGTCCTCTGCTTGCCAGATTTTTGACTTACACCCTGCCTTGACCCATATCATTGTGTTGTTTGAAATACCCATTATGCGTGCAGTGGATGAAGCATAAACTACCTGTTTATGCTGGCGATGGCTGAATATGCAGAAAGGAGCACCATTTATTCTACACATGAGTTCACAGCGTTCTGTTTCCCCAGTTTCCTCTGGGTGGTTTCTTCTGTTGAAAAGCCCCTTACTTGGCTGGGCGCGGTGGCTCACGCCTGTAATCCCAGCACTTTGGGAGGCTGAGGCGTGTAGATCACAAAGTCAGGAGATGGAGACCATCCTGGCTAACACGGTGAAACCCCATCTCTCCTAAAAATACAAAAAATTAGCCAGGCGTGGTAGCAGACGCCTGTAGTCCCAGCTACTCGGGAGGCTGAGGCAGGAGAATCACTTGAACCCAGGAGGCGGAGGTTGCAGTGAGCTGAGATCGCCCCACTGCACTCCAGCCTGGGCAACAGAGCCAGACTTAGTCTCAAAAAAAAAAAGCCCCTTACTCTACCGGGCATGGTCGCTCACACCTACAATCCCAGCACTTTGGGAGGCCGAGGCAGGTGGATCACCAGAAGTCAGGAGTTTGAGACCAGCCTGGCCAACATGGTGAAACCCAGTCTCTACTAAAAATACAAAAATTAGCCAGGCGTGGTGGTGGGTTCCTGTAATCCCAGGTACTCGGGAGGCTGAGGCAGGAGAATCGCTTGAACCCAGAAGACCAAGGCTGCAGTGAGCCAAGATCGCGCCATTGCACTCCAGCCTGGGCGACAGAGTAAAACTCCGTCTCAAAAAAAAAAAAAAAGCAAAGCCGCTTACTCTAGTTAGCTTGTCAACTAAGCCCTCTCCCTGGGTATGTGATGTTTCTGCCTGTCTTCTTCCTTCCTGTGGCTTCGCTTTACAGTATTCAGATAGCTATAGCAGTCTCGGCTGCAAATCTCTTTTCCAGTGGATCATCCCCTCTTTAACTTTTGTCCTGTTAGCTTGGTGACATCTTTGTATGTTGGAGGGGCAGGCAGAAAAACAACAGCTCTGTGCTTAGAGCCATTTCTCCAGTTTATCCCAAGGTGCTCCTTATCACTGTAGTTTAAGTAAGAACCTTTCTCCGCCTTTCGCAAATCTAGTGTCTTGGTGTGCATTTAGGAAAAAGAGGAATGGCACTTCAGCAGCTTCTCATGTCCAGCCTGGCGTTCCAGCAGCCCTCTTCTTCCCATCCTTAAGGTGCGGCCCACAGGGAGGGTGGGGTTCAGAGCTGTCTGAACAAATCAAGTTCGATTTGTTGGTCTGTTTTAACCACAACACCTTTTAAGAAAATTAAAATCACTATTTCAAGTAGGGACTAAGTCGGTAGAGGGACCCCTCACTGTTGTGATTTCTGGGTGTTGGCAAATGGTACCGCATCATTTCACTGTCCACATGGGGACTTAGGATTGGTTCATTCTAGGACCTTGGGTGATTTAACCTCTCTGAATCTCTTTTCTGTCAATGGGGGCAGACTATCTGCCTCAAAGGGCAATTGCAAGGGTTAAATGAGGTCCCTTGGGCAAACCACTTGACTCAAAATTGAGTCAGGGCTCTCAGCACATGTCAACTTTTATTTGTTTCCAACTTCATAATCCAGATTTATTGAAAATGCAATGTTTTGTTGCTCTGAAATTCACTATAAATGGGTTAAGGAGGGCCGGGCGCCGTGGCCCACGCCTGTAATCCCAGCACTTTGGGAGGCCAAGGAGGGCAGGTCATCTGAGGTCAGGAGTTCGAGACCAGCCTGAACAACAGGGAGAAACCCCGTCTCTACTAAAAATACAAAATTAGCCGGGCGTGGTGGCACATGCCTGTAATCCCAGCTACTTGGGAGGCTGAGGCAGGAATCGCTTGAACCTGGGAGGCGGAGGTTTCAGTGAGCCGAGATCACACCACTGCACTCCAGCCTGGGCAACAAGAGCGAAACTCCATCTCAAAAAAAGAAAAAAAAAAAATAGAATGGGTTAAGGAAACTGGAGGAGACCAGGTCTACAAGGGGTATCCTTAGCTGCTTGGAAGACAGAAAGGAAAGACAACAGAGAGGTAAATAAAAGCAATGCTTCAAGCAACTTGAGATGCCAGAACACCTAGAAAGACCCAAGGCGGATGAAAAGCCCCAAGGGATATGCAAGCCTGGGGGGCCATCTGGGTGGTTTGCATCCTAGCCCGCTGACCTTGGAGGGGCTTTCCTGTCTTTCCCTGATTTCTTTCACTGCTGAAGAGGCTGCCCTCAAAGCCTGGAGCACTTGGCAGGGTTCCAGGGATCTGTACCAATGCCATGCCTCCTGATGACAGAGCAGAGGCTGGTGATGCTAGCTCACAGCCATGTGGCCTTGGCCTTGTCCTGCCTCTCTCTGACAGATGCTAGCATCAGTGGATGCTTTTGAGTTTCACATAGAAGACTGCTGAACTCTCAATTCTTGGGGTCAGGAGGTCTGAATCTAAGTCTCAGCTCTGCTTAGCTTTGCTGCTCTGAGTAGCTTTGGACTTTCAGCAAGTCACACATCAGCTTTCAGAATCCCAATTTCCCAATTTATTAAATGACTGTTAGACTCATTTAATAGGTGGGCTCTGGGTCCTTCCCCCGCTGGCCGGTATGCATTTTGAAGTCACCTCACCAGGCCTCCTTCAAGGCAGCACCACCTTTCAGGGTCAGTACCTAAGGCACAGTCCCTAACTACCAGCACCTCTCAGACTCTGATCTGATTTTGAAAAATTGTAGTTTTGGAAGCCTGATGTCCACAACCATGACCGAGGTTGCTCAAATGACTCTGATGAGTTTCCAGCACACCCTACACCCTGGCTGCACCCACAGCGACCCCGTCAGCCCAGCCTTCCTCAGCTTCCATCTGTGCGCCTGCTCCTCTTCCCCTGCACTATCTGAGAATTAAAGACGCATTCTTAATGAATCTTTCACTTTCAGTGTGTTCTTCCTGAATGAGTCGTAACTTCCATTTTTTTCTAGCTTCGCTCTCTGATCTCAAGGGCCACATCTAACAGAATTCACGTGTTCGATACAAAAAAAAAAAAAAGAACAGGAGGTTTCCACCTCTTTTTATTAATCAGAATGATTTCAGTTTAAATTAAATGTCCCACACAGAATTCCTTTAGAAGACTAGAACTGTTCATTAGAAAGTGAAAGTAGCTGATAATCCTTTTTTAAATATGAGGGGGGAAAAAAACTGGCAAGTCATTTAAACATCTTTCCTCTGGTAACTTACAAAAAATAAGCAAAATACTTTAATTTTGTCACTTTTCTTTTTCCCTCCTTTTGCCCACAATAAAGATGTCATAGAAGCTTTTCCATTCGTGCCGGACTCCTTAGGTTGGAGAAATAATTGGCTTTTCCTGGAGAGAAGGGTAGTGACAGACTGTGTCTGAGGTATTCTCTTGCAAATCCCTGAGGGTACTGAATAACAAAGTCTGTCTAGCTTCCAGTCTGCAACTCTTCTCGCTTTCCTTTGAACAAGGGCAGTAAGTTGCTCTTTTTCTGCCCAGCTCTGGCACTGAAAAAATCCAGTAGGTGGCCAAAGAGCCTTTAGAAGACTAAAGGCAGCTTCAGAGAGCCATTGGACCAGATTTTAAAAAGAAAAGTGTGCTTGTATCTTTGTATTGCAAACAATGCTGGAGGAGCTGAATGGTGCTTCAGACCTTGGGCTTAAAGACAGGTGACTTATTTAGGCCCCTTACAAATGGGCATGTTTGACTACAGCTAAATTAAGTTCTCAAAATAATCCCTGAAACTGGAGCTTAGACTGTTGAAGCAAGTACTCAGGGCAGACGTCTCAGGCGTACTCATTTTCACCTTTCATTTATGACATGGTGTCATCCTTCACAGCTCCACAGAAAAGCTCCTCCAGTGTTCTCTGTGAAACAGGAAAGAACTCTCTATGCACCAGATAAGCCAAACCCCTGGAGTTCCATGGGCTGAGAACTTTGCCCTTCATAAATTACTTCTGTGAAAAGTTCTAAGCTGAGGAGATGGCAATAAAGAAATTGCTCTGCGTTGTTTTATGGTTCCAGCATTCGGTTTCCTGTGGCGTCCCGTGGTCTTTGGTTTGAGTCATGAGAAGAAGCCTGAGAAGCAGGTATCACCCTGCTCTCAGCTAGGTATGTAGAACTGGCTACGGTACTGTGGACATCCCATTTGCCCAGCCACAGCTGTGTGCTGTATCACTGGGATGCTCTGAGTGCAAGGTGCATCTTTGAACGAAATACTAGATGTGACTGGTGCCTTCAGCAGTCATGTGGCAATTTTTAAAAAAGTGTGGTAAAATATAAATTACATACAAATTGAGCATCTTAACAATTTTTAAGTATACAGTTCAGTGGCATTAAGTATATATATGCACAGTGTGATACAACCATCATCACCACCCATTTCCAGAACTTTCTCATCTTCCCAAACTGAAACTCTGTACCCATTAAACACAAACTCCCCATTCCCCACCCCCAGCCCCTGGCAGCTGCCATTCTACTTCCTGTCTTGTTAAATTGGAGTGCTCTGGGTACATCATATAAGTGGAATCACACAATGTTTTTCCTCTTGTGACTGGCTTATTTCACTGAGCTAACGTCTTCAAGGTTCATCCACTTGTAGCATGTGTCAGAATTTCCTTTCTTTTTAGGGCTGAATAATATTGTATTGTATGGATAGGTCACATTTTTTGTTCATCCATTCATCTGTTGATGGACACTTCAGTTGCTTCTCTGCCTTTTGGCTATTGTGAATAGTGCTGCTACGAACATGGGTGTACAGATGTCTCTTCAAGTCCCTGCTTTCAGTTCTTTGGGGTATATATCTAGAAGTGGAATTGCTGAATCATATGGCAATTCTATTTTTAATTTTTGAAGACCTGCCATACTTTCCATAAAGTCTACAGCATGTTACAATCCCACCAGCAGTGTTTAAAGGTTTATATTTCTCTAGAGCCTTGCCAACACTTGCTATTTTCTTTTTTTTTTTTTTTTTATAATAGGCACCTGATAGGTGTGAGGTGGGGTCTCATTTGGCTTTTCTTGCATGCTCCCATACTCTTTTATTATAGATTTATAAGAGTATTAATATCTAATACTCCTTTCTATAGTTCTTCAGGAAAATTTTATTTGCTATTCTCATCTGCTTGTTTTCCTCAGATGTACTTGGGAATTATTTTTGTTATATTTCTCCCTGTACAATATTTTATCCAGTTAGGGTTTTGATTGGAGTTGCATTTAAGATATAAATTAATGTAGAATGAACTTCTTAAAAATAAACTTTTGGTCTTTCTATCTAAATCTTCCTTCATCTCTCTTCTTATATGTAGGTCTAGGTTTGTTGTTTTTCATTTATTCGTTGTAGACAAACCTTCCTGAATTTGTTGCTTTGTGAATGAGGTGTTAAAATTGTATTTTTGTAATGGTTATTGCCTTCCTATAGGAGTGTGTGTGTGTTTGTGTCTGTGAGTATGTGTTGTAACTGTCCACTTTACAGAGCAAAGCAATAAGATATTCAAAAGAACACAGTCTTTGTAGTCAGTCAGACTTGGGTTTGAATCCCAGCTCTGCCACTTACCAGATGCATGACACTGAGAAAACTTTAGTATGGTGTTTTACATACAGGAATTCAATAAATAATGGCTACTACAGTTAGATTTCTCTTTAAATAATTTCCATTAATTTCCTTGAATTTTCTGGTTACACAATGATATAATCTGTAATTAATGATAATATTAACTTTTTCTTTCCAATATTTAAATCTCTCACATCCATTTCATGTCATATTGTATTCACCAGAAAAACTTGTGGGACAATACTCTACAATTATGTGAACATATTCATTCCAGGGGAGTTTTATTCTGATTTTAAAAGGAATGCCTCTAGCTTTTTACCATTAAGTATAATATTGACATAGCTTGAAATTGATACTTTTTATAGGTTAGAGAGTATATTTCAGTTCTTTCTTTTTAAGTGTTTTTAAATTAGAAATCAGTTATCTTGGAAGATTTATACAATTACAACAACTTTATTTGTAAATTATAGTATTAATGTTACCTAAGAAGGAAGAGATGTAGGATCAATCTTATCCTGTCTGTGTGAAGTCTTTATTTTATTTTTTTTTTTGTCACTGACTTCAGGCTCATGAGTGAAGCACTTTTTTTTCTTTTTAGATTGTTCATTATGAAGTGGATTTGTGTGTGTGTGCTTCGCTTTCAGACCCTCATGAATTTTTTTTTCATGTGTGAAGTCTTTATAAGTATTTTTTAGGGATTTGAATATGGAAAGGAAATTAATTTAATTTGCCTGGGGATGGGTTTTAGGTGACATCTTCCTTTTACTGGCCAAACCACCAGTTTCTTTCTGTTATAGAAATTAGTACCTTACTTTTATATCTGGTTTGTGTCCTACAGGCACATTTTTATCTTTGATTCCCATGAATAATTCAACTATGGAATATTTAAGTTTTAAGTCGGGGGGCCCAATCCTTTGGTGTCCCTGAGCCACATCGAAAGATGAAGAATTGTCTTGGGCCATACATAAAATACACTAACACTAACGATAGCTGATGAGCTTAAAAAAAATTGCAAAAAAAAAAAATTCTGATAATGTTTTAAGAAAGTTTACGAATTTGGGGTTTGTTGTTGTTGTTGTTGTTGTTGTTGTTGTTGTTTTGAGACGAGTCTCGCTCTGTTGCCCAGGTTGGAGTGCAGTGGCACCATCTCAGCTCACTGCAACCTCCGCCTCCCGGGTTCAAGTGATTCTTCTGCCTCAGCCTCCCAAGTAGCTGGGATTACAGGTGTTCACCACACACCTGGCTAATTTTTGTATTTTTAGTAGAGATGGGGTTTCATCATGTTGGCCAGGCTGGTCTCGAACTCCTGACCTGAAGTGATCCACCCACCTCGACCTCCCAAAGTGCTGGGATTACAGGCGTGAGCCACGCGCGCCCGGCTGAGTTTACGAATTCATGTTGTGCTTCATTCAAAGCCGTCCTGTGGCATATGGGGCCTGCAGGTCACGGATTGGATAGGTTTGTTTTAAGTAACTCTATAATCTTAAACTAGTTACTCTTCTGGTTAAAGCTTATTAATATTTTAATAATAACTGTTTTCTTGATATAAAAGTAACATATTAGCTGGGTGCGGTGGTGCACACCTGTAATCCTAGCACTTTGGGAGGGCCAAGGCAGGTGAATTGCTTGAGCCCAGGAGTTTGAGACCAGCCTGGGCAACATGGCGAAACCCTATCTATTAAAAAAAAATACAAAAATTAGCCAGGGCTGGAGCAGTGACTCACGCCTGTAATCCCAGCACTTTGGGAGACCGAGGCGGGCGGATCACCTGAGGTCAGGAGATTGAGACCACCCTGACTAACATAGCGAAACCCTGTTTCTACTAAAAATACAAAAATTAGCTGGGTGTGGTGGCACACACCTGTAATCCCAGCTACTCAGGAGGCTGAGGCAGGAGAATTGCTTGAACCCAGGAGGTGGAGGTTGCAGTGAGTCGAAATCATGCCACTGCACTCCAGCCTGGGCGACAGAGTGAGATTCAGCCTCAAAAAAAATTAAACATTAAAATTAAAAAATAAAAACAGCGCATACAGTTATGTAAGATGCTTTTTTTCTCTTACTGTATTTTGAAAATTCCCAATTTCAAATAACCTTACACCTTATGATTGTTAATGGTTAGCATGTCATTTTTCATCATGTGAATACATTTAAATTTATGTTCCAAAACTCTGTTAGTAGACATTTAGCTTGTTTCCAGTTTTTCATGCTGGCAAATAATCTAATGACAATCATTCTTATATAAATAGTATGTATCTCTTTAAGATAGCTTCTAGAATTTTTTCTTCTTAGAAGTTGAGTGGCTGACTGAGTTATACATTTTCATTTTTCATTTATTTATTTATGTATTTATTTGAGACGGAGTGCTGGAGTGCAATGGCGCAATCTCGGCTCACCGCAACCTCTGCTTCCCGGGAAAGCATTTCTCCTGCCTCAGCCTCCCGAGTAGCTGGGATTACAGGCATGCGCCACCACGCCCAACTAATTTTGTATTTTTAGTAGACACGGGGTTTCTCCTTGTTGGTCAGTCTGGTCTCGAACTCCTGACCTCAGGTGATCCACCCACTTCAGCCTCCCGAAGTGCTGGGATTACAGGCGTGAGCCTGGCCGAGTTATGCCTTTTTTTTTTTTTTTTTTTTTTTTTTTTTGAGATGGAGTCTCGCTCTGTCACCCAGGCTGGAGTGCAGCAGCGCGATCTCAGCTCACTGCAAGCTCTGCCTCCCAGGTCCACGCCATTCTCCCACCTCAGCCTCCCGAGTAGCTGGGACTACAGGCACCCGCCACCAAGCCAGGCTAATTTTTTGTATTTTTAGTAGAGACAGGGTTTCACTGTGTTAGCCAGGATGGTCTCGATCTCCTGACCTTTTGATCCGCCCGCCTCAGCCTCCCAAAGTGCTGGGATTACAGGCGTGAGCCACTGCGCCTGGCCGAGTTATACATTTTTAAGAATGTATAATCCTGGTTGGGCATGGTGGCTCACACCTGTAATCCCAGCACATTTGGGAGGCAAAAATTTGATAGAAGAAAAAAAATCTTACTACCTGTTTTAATTTGCATTTCTTTGAGATTGAACATTAAAAAGGTGTTTCTTTCGTATTTATATGTCTTCTTTCATAAATTGTTCCTTCTCATCCTTTGCTCATTTTGCAATTGAGGTGTTATTTTCCATGTTGATTTGTAAGAGTGAGTAGAGCATAATAATTAAGATCAAAAGCATGGAACTCAGAAAGTTTTATGTTGAAATCTCTGTTCTGCTGCTTATTAGTGATGAGACCCTGGGCACATTACTTCATAGCCATTTGGTGTTTGTTTCTTTATTTTCAAAAGTTGAGCTAGGCTGGGTGTGGTGGCTCATGCCTGTAATCCCAGCACTTTGGGAGGCCAAGGCGGGTGAATCGCCTGAGGTCAGGAGTTCAAGATCAGCCTGGCCAACATGGTGATACCCCATCTCTACTAAAAATTCAATAACTAGTGGGGTGTGGTGGTGCGTGCCTGTAATCCCAGCTACCCAGGAGGCTGAGGCAGGAGAATCACTTGAACTCGGGAGGTGGAGGTTGCAGTGAGCTGAGATTGTGCCACTGCACTCCAGCCTGGGCAACAGAGTGAGACTCTATCTCAAAAAAAAAAAAAAAATTGGGCTGGGCTCGGTGGCTCACGCCTGTAATCCCAGCACTTTGGGAGGCTGAGATGGGCGGATCACGCAGTCTGGAGATGGAGACCATCCTGGATAACAGGGTGAAACCCTGTCTCTACTAAAAATACAAAAATTAGCCAGGCATGGTGGTGCACACCTTGTAATCCCAGCTACTCAGTAGGCTGAGGCAGGAGAATCACTTGAACCAGGGAGTCGGAGGTTGCAGTGAGCTGAGATCACGCCACTGGGCGACAGAGTGAGACTTCGTCTCAAGAAGAAAAAAAAAGTGGTACTAATTGTACCTCCTTTATAGGATTATGATGAGATATTTTATGCAAAGTGCTTAGCATGTCTTATACCCAATAAGGGATCAATAAAGTGAAGCTTTTCTTATACTGAGGCTCTTAATTAATTCTGTCTGTAAATATGTTTTTTCCTAGTTTGTAATTTCCATTTTAATTTAACCTGTAGTAGTATGTCTAGAATTATGTAAATGAAAATACATATCTTTTCTTTTGTGGTTTATTTCTTTTTCCTCAAAAACGCTTCCACACCCTCAAAGATCAGATAGATATTTACCTACTTTTGTTCTGGTTCCTTTTTTTTTTTTTTTTTTTTTTTTTTTTAGAAGGAGTCTTACTCTGCCTGCCACCCAGGCTGGAGTGCAGTGGTGTGATCTTGGCTCACTGCAACCTTTGCCTCCTGGATTCAAGTGATTCTCCTGCCTCAGCCTCCCGAGTAGCTGGGATTACAGGCACCCGCCACCACGCCCAGCTAATTTTTGTATTTTTAGTAGAGACGGGGTTTCATCATGTTGGCCAGGCTGGTCTGGAACTCCTGACCTCAGGTGATTCGCCTGCCTCAGCCTCCCAAAGTGCTGGGATTACATGCGTGAGCCACGGTGCCCGGCCTGTTCTGGTTCTTTAATCATTTCATATTTTACATTTAGCTCTTTAATCCACTTGGAGTAACTGTTTTGTTTTTGTGAGAGGGTCTGGCTCTGTCACCCAGACTGGAATGCAGTGGCACAATCTCAGCTCACTGCAGCCTCCATCTCCTGGCTTAAGACATTCTCCCACCTCAGCCTCCTGAGTAGCTGGGACTACAGGTGTGCACCACCATACTTGGCTAATTCTGTGTTGTTGTTGTTGCTGTTGTTGTTGTTGTTGTTGTTGTTGAGATGGAGTCTCACTGTGACATCCAGGCTGGACTGGAGTGCAATGGCCTGATTCTGACTCGCTGAAACCTCTGCCTCCCAGGTTCAAGTGATTCTCCTGCCTCAGCCTCCCAAGTAGCTGGGACTACAGGCATGCACCACCATGCCTGGCTAATTTTTGTATTTTTAGTACAGACATGGTTTCACCATATTGGCCAGGCTGGTCTCGAACTCTTGACCTCAAATGATCCACCCGCCTCTGCCTCCCAAAGTGCTAGGATTGTATCTCTGATAGAGATGGGGTTTTGCCACGTTGCCCAGGCTGGTCTTGAACCCATGAGCTCA
The DNA here is from genome assembly GCF_000001405.40 of Homo sapiens. Taxonomy (NCBI): domain Eukaryota; kingdom Metazoa; phylum Chordata; class Mammalia; order Primates; family Hominidae; genus Homo; species Homo sapiens. The sequence continues at coordinate 7,094,474 of NC_000006.12, forward strand.
AGTAGTCCTCCCGCCTCAGCTTCCCAAAGTGCTGGGATTACAGGAGTGAGCCACCGTGCCTGGCCTGGAGTAAGTTTTTTTGTTTTTTCTTTTATTCTTTTTGAAATGAAGTTTTGCTCTTGTTGCCCAGGCTGGAGTGTAGTGGCATGATCGCAGCTCACTGCAACCTCTGCCTCTCAGGTTCAAGCGATTCTCCTGTCTCAGCCTCCCGAGTAGCTGGGATTACAGGTGCCTGCCACCACGCCTGGCTAATTTTTGGTATTTTTAGTAGAGACAGGGTTTCACTATGTTGGCCAGGCTTGTCTGGAACTCCTGACCTCATGATCTGCCTGTCTCGGCCTCCCAAAGTACTGGGATTACAGGCATGAGCCACTGCACCCAGCCATAAGTTTTAATCTTTAGTGCAAAGTGGGTATTTGGTGTGAATTTTTTTCCTCTAAAATTGTTCCACATATATTGACTAATTTTATTCTTTCCCCCACTGATATGAAGTGCATTTTACCATACACCAAACGCTTCTAGGTTTTCTGTTTGATCCCATTGCTCCATCTGTTGTTGCACCAGCACTGTACCCTAGTATATGGTATGTGTACAATATGTACATTCTAGACTTATCACAGGATTAATATCTGGAAGCATTCATCCCCTCTCCCCTCAACACCATCTATTGTTCTCAGAATTTACGGACTTGGATTACAGCCTGATCAGGATTTAAATTTTTCTGTCATTCCATACAGTGCACAGAAAGAACCTGGGCTGTAGACTCAGAGGACTTGGATTCCAATCCTGGCTCCACCACTTAGCAGCTGTTTAAATTGTGCATGTTATTCTCTGTAAACCTCGGGTTCTTTATTGAAATAATCCTGTGAAAATCAGCACTTAACCCAAGTTCCTCTGAAATAATGGGACCAAATCGACAAACCATGGAGTCACATCACTCAGGTTTACATATTTCTGCAAAATAAGCCATTGTTGGCCGGGCGCAGTGGCTCATGCCTGTAATCCCAGCACTTTAGGAGGCCAAGGTGGGTGGCTCCTTGAGCTCACCTTGAGCTCAGGAGTTTAAGACCAGCCTGGGCAACATAGTGAAACCCTGTCTCTACCAAAAATACAAAAAATTAACCTGTTGTGGTGGCACGTACCTGTAGTCCCAACTACTTGGGAGGCTGAGGCAGGAGAATTGCTTGAACCCAGGAGGCGGATGTTGCAGTGAGCTGAGATCATGCCACTGCACTCCAGCCTGGGCAATAGAGTAAGACTTGGTCTCAAAAAAAAAAAAAAAAAAAAGGCAATTTGATGTAACCTTAACACTTTTATTGGTTTAAAGTACATGTATTTGATTGCAAAATATGACTATTAAGCAGCTCATTTTCTTTTTCTTCCTTTTTTTTTTCTTTTGTATAAATGTAGGGGGTACATACAAGTGCAGTTTTGATATAGGGAAATATTGCATAGTGGTGAACTCTGGGCTTTTAGTGTAACCATTGCCCAAATAGTGTACATTGTATCCATTAAGGAATTTCTCATTCCTCACTCCCCTCCCACCCTTCTGGGTCTCCAGTATCTATTATTCCACACTTTACGTTTGTGTATACACATTATTTAGCTTCTGCTTATAAGTGAGAACAAAACATCTAATTTAAAAATATATAATATGAAGGGCTGGTGCAGTGGTTCATGCCTGTAATCCAAGCACTTTGGGAGGCCAAGGTGGGAGGATCACTTGAGGCTAGGAGTTTGAGATCAGCCTGGGCAATATAGCGAGACCCCTTCTCTATAAAAAATTTAAAAATTAGCCAGATGTAGTGGTGCATGCCTGTATTCCTAGCTACTTGGGAGACTGAGGCAGGAGGATTGCTTGAGTCCAGGCATTTGAGGCTGTAGCTGGCTATGATCAGGCTACTGCACTACAGCCTGTGTGACAGAGTGGAACCCCATCTCTGAAAAAAATATATATGCACAAACATATTTTGCATATATATGTACATATATTAGATATATACATATGTATACACATTATATGTGTGCATGTTGCATACATGTATCTTTCACATGCATACATATTTTATATATGTATTATAATACACTATAATACATCTACATGTATATACAAGGTGTATGTATTTGTATGCTTATGTACGTAGTATATATACAATTATGTACATAGTATATATACATATTATATATATACACTAAAAAAGTATATATACATATTATATATATACACTAAAAAAGTGTATATACGATACTTTTTTTTTGTTTTTTGTTTTTGAGATGGGGTCTCGCTCTGTCACCAGGCTGGAGTGCAGTGGTGATCTCTGCTCGCTGCAACTTCTGCCTTCTGGCTCAAGTGATTCTCCTGCCTCAGCCTCCCAAGTAGCTGGGACTACAGGCATGTGCCACCGCACCCAGCTAATTTTTGTATTTTTAGTAGAGACAGGGTTTCACCATGTTGGCCAGGATGGTCTCGATCTCTTGACCTCCTGATCTGCCCGCCTCGGCCTCCCCAAAGTACTAGGATTACAGGCATGAGCTGCCATGCCCAGCCTTACAATACTTTGTATACTATATACACTATAAAAAAAGTATATATACAATACTATGTATACTATATCTGCATCCTGCCTGGCCAAACAGCTGAGATTTTATTTCTTCACAGTTCTGGGGGCTGGAAGTCCAAAATCAAGGTGTGGACAGGGTTGTCCATCTCCTGAGGCCTCTCTTTTTGGCTTGCAGATGGTTGTCTTCTGTGCCCTTATGTGGTCGTCCCTTTTTTATTTATTGATTTATTTATTTTTTTGAGATGGAGTCTCACACTGTCACCTGGGCTAGAGTGCAGTGGCACGATCTCAGCTCGCTGCAACCTCCGCTTCCCGGGTTCAAGCGATTCTCCTGCCTCAGCCTCCCGATTAGCTGGGATTACAGGCACACACTGCCACACCCAGCTAATTTTTTGTATTTTTAGTAGAGACAGGGTTTCACCGTGTTAGCCAGGATGGTCTCGATCTCCTGACCTCGTGATCTGCTCCTCGTGGCCTCCCAAATCACGCCTGGGATTACAGGCATGAGCCACCGCGCCTGGCCGTCCCTTATTTTTGTATCTGTGTCCTCATCTCCTCTGATAAGGAGACCACATTGAATCAGGGCCCACCCTAAAGACTTCATTTTACCTTAATCCCCTCTTTAAAAGCCCTTTCTTGGCCAGGCGCAGTGGCTCACACCTGTAATCCTAGCACTTTGGGAGGCCCAAGTGGGTGGATCACCTGAAGTCAGGAGTTCAAGACCAGCCTGTCCAACATGGTGAAACCCTAGCTGGGCATGGTGGTGGGGACCTGTAATCCCAGCTACTCAGGAGGCTGAGGCAGGAGAATCACTTGAACCTGGGAGGTGAAGGTTGCAGTGAGCCGAGATCATACCACTGCACTCCAGCCTGGGCGACGAAGCAAGACTCCGTCTCAATCAATCAATCAATCAATAAAGGCCCTCTCTCTAACTACAGTCACTTTCTGAGGTCCTGGGGTTTAGAACTTCAACATATGGGTTTTGGGGAACACTTCAGCCCATCACACCTACGGTAAAGCCGGGGTCATCTGTTGATTACCTGCCTCTTCCCCTCTTCTAATCTCTAAGACACACCTCCTTCACAAAAGCCTAAGTAGCTGCTCCATACTTTTCCTCTCACCCCCTCCGCTTCCTCATTTTTGGAGACAAGACCATCTCTGTCAGGGACCAAGTCCTATTCAGGCTTCATATCTGCTCCACCTCCCAGAAAGCCCAGTGATTGGGATTTCTGCTCCATCTTAGAGTCATTGGCATCTGCCCCTCAAGGGCTCTGACCCTGTGTCTCCCACCCTCACCCCTCCTGCTTTCCCTGCACCTGCTTCACCCCCCTGCCACCCCTCCAGCCACTAAGCCTGCCTCCTTCCACATCTTCAGGCCCCCTCGACCACTCCCAGTTCTCAAGGTCTCAGCCCCTTCCCGCCTTATCCTCCTGGCTCCATTTGGACCTGGGCATGCCCACGTTGGCACCCAATCACATCCAGAAACCTCTGGACATCTTCTGTGGCTCTTCTGGACACTTTTGTGTCTGCCTTGCTGATTTGAATTTCCAGCTGCCAGTCATCATTCCCACTGTAAGTTTCCTCCCCTCTGGGGTGCCCATAGCATTGAAAGGAAGCTGAAACAGCTGGTCTTCCACCACCAGTTCCTGCCTTCTTCTCTCCTTACCCTCAGCCCCGGGCCCCACCCCTACTCTCCTCAATGCTGCCGTACCCAGTCAAGGCCGGCAGATACCTTTTCCCACTCACATATTTCTCAGTGTGTTCCTACTATTCTTTCCCCCTTCTCTCTCATCTTAGAAGATGAAGTATTCCTCTTTTCCTTCCTAGGCTGATCTCTGCCTTTCCTCCTGTGCCATAGACTCTCTCTCACCTCCCTTCCAACGTTGTTTCATACATCTCTATACGCTCCCTCTCTGGGTCTGCATTCCTTTCCTGTTGACATAAATTGTTTGGGTGGTTTAACCCTTCTAAAACCCCTTCTCCACATTCTAATACTCACAGAGATAATTTTTTTTAAGAGATGGGGTCTTGCTATGTTGTTGCCCAGGCTGGTCTTAAACTCCTGGGCTCAGAGATCTTTCTGCCTCACCTTCCTAAGTAGCTGGGATTATAGGTGTGCACTACCACACCCAGCTCCTAGAGATAATTTCCAAGGCACTGTGGAGCAGGGCTTCTCAACCCCGACACTATTAACCTTTGCGACCAGATAATTCTTTGCTGTGGAGGGCTTTCCCTATGCAGTGTAGGATGTTAAGCAGCATCCCTGGCCTCTACTCACTAAATGCCATTTGCACATTTCCCCCAGCTTGTGACAGCCAAAAAATGTCTCCAGACATTGCCAAACATACCCTAGGGTTCAGAATCACCTGGTTGAGAACCACTGGTGTAGACACTGAAAATGTGGACTCTACTGTGCTAGTTCATCTTTAGCCTTTTGCTATGCTAGGCATGTTGGAATCTACAAAATACCCAGCTACAGCTTCGGAATTTATTCTGCACATATGGAACGTAATACTTGGAGAACAGAAAGAGATTTGTACCTTATGTTCATGTGAGGGAGGGGTGATTATAAACCAAATTAGCAATACTTAAAAATGTGCACTTAACTTATCCTTCTAATTAAATCCTTGTAAAACAACTGCACAGACAACAATGGCCCTACTGCAAAACTCCAATCAAGAGGGTTTTATTGAGATTAGTCAAGACAATTAAGTAGGTTTTTTTTTTTTTTTTTTTTTTTGAGATGGAGTCTCACTCTGTCGCCCAGGCTGGAGTGCAATGGCACAATCTTGGCCCACTGCAACCTCCGCCTCCCGGGTTCAAGCAATTCTCCTGCCTCAGCCTCCCGAGTCACTGGGATTACAGGCGCATGCCACCATGCCCAGCTAATTTTTGTGGTAGATATTTTTTAAATTAGTAAACTATTTAATTCTTAATAGGCTAACAACAGCAACCATGACAGTGACAATAAAAAAGTGTGGGCTCCAGGGTCAGGCTGCCTGGTTTGCCTCTCAGTGCTACCCCTTCCCAGCTGGGAGATGTTGGGCAGTTGAGGAAGCTCTCTGCTTCAGTTTCATCAGCTGCAAAATGGGGGTGGTAATGGCACCCACCTGAGTGAGGGTGGAGGGCACAGAGCCAGACTATACAGAGGAGGCCCTGGAGCGGGGCCTGGGCAGAGCCAGCCCTTCAATAAATGCTAACTGTTAATGGTCATTGCTATTGTTATTTTTCTTTCTTTCCCTTCCTTTCTCACCTAAGTTCACGCCAGAGCACAGGGCCTTCACTTCCTCTTCTTCTACTCACTGTTTAACCCCTTGCTTTCTGGCCCCTGCCTACCATACTCACATGAACTCACTTTCTCAGCTCTCAGCCTTTGTTTCTGCCACTTGCCTTGGTTTCTCTTTGTTTGTTTGCTTTTTGCATAAGTTTAAGGGGTATAGGTGCAGTTTTGGTACATGGATATATTGCACAGTGGTGAAGTGTGGCCTTTTAGTGTAACCATCACCCGCATGATGTACATTGTACCATTAAGTACTCTTACCCCCTGCCACCCTCTCACCCCTCCAAGTCTCCAGCATCTATTATCCCACATTCTGTGTGGTTTCTCTGTGTTTTAACACTGTGGGCCACCTTTTCCCTTAGCTGTTCTGCTTCTTTAGAGGCAAAAGAGAAGGAGCTCTTACCACTCCCTCTTCTTTTTCCACTGAATTGCAGCCATTTCCTTGGGTCCTGCCCTAGCCTGTCATTGTCCATGGTCTCTTTACCTAGACGTGTCTTTAGGCCTCCCTCCTGAGTTCCCCTCCTCTCCAATTCCACAAGTCGCACCCCCATCCACGACTCATGCCGCTGGTGAATGGACACACCCTCTATCCAGTTATCTAAGGCCAAGCCCAGAGAATCGGCCTTCTTAACTCCATGACTTCTCACTCCACAACCAACGGGGACCAAGCCTTGCGGATCTGTCCCCTTGACATCTCCTGTCTCTGGTCCTTCCTGCACTGCCACGGGTCACGCTAACTGCTGCGGCAGTTTCACCTCTTTTGTTGCCACACACCCTGGTCAGTGCTCCAGAAGGATTGTTTCCTTTCCTCTCACAGTCAGTTGGTCAAGTTCTGTTGATTCTATGGCCTAATTATGTCCCAGATGAATCCATTCCTCTCCACCTCTACAGCCAGTGCCTCTTCCACCCCTACAGCCAGTGCCTCCCTAGGTCTTTATTCTTGCTTAACTAAATTCTTCTATTACTATTAATTCCTAACTCCCCCTCCTGCCTTGTCCTGCCATCCTTCAGACCATCCTCCACGGTACCCTCCTCCGTGAGCCCTTTCACGGCCTGACTGCTGGATAACGTCCAAGTCCGCTGTGCATAGCGCTCTTGGCGATCTGGCCCACTGGCTACTCCTACAGCCCCATCTCTGGCTGCCTCCCCTCCTCCCTCTGCTGCTCCAGCTCCAGAGGGTGGTATTTGCAGTTCAGGAAACTGACCTTGTTTTACGCCTCTGTGCCCTTGTGCTTGCAGCTCCCTGCCCACTCTGGCTGGAGTGCCCTGCCCCCTCCTCTCTGCCTGGGGACACCTACACAGCTGTGAGACCTCATCCAAGTGGCCTTCTCCAGCATCCACACCTTTTTTCTTCATGATCCTCTTCCACAGCTTAGCTCTGTTGTCCATTTATTTCTACCTCCAGGCTCAATATCACCTACTCTGTCACCTTCCACCTCAAATGGGTTCCCCTTCTCCCTGACTTTCTCATTTTTGTCCTTCTGTCAGCTACCTAGCTAAGACCCAGGCATCATCTTGGCCCTGATTTCTGCACCTTACCCCCCATCCCTCGTTCCCCCTCCATTATGGGTCCACCGCTTGCTTCTCTGTGAGTTCTTCCTCTGAAGTGCTTCTTGACCTCCTCTACCCTCACCCTAGTTCAGGCCCTTGATACCTAAGCTTTTCCACAGCCAATATTCAGAAGTTTTCGTGGGACAGGCTCAGCTTATTTACCTTTTAGTCTCATCACCCATCTATTCCTGTAAATGTTATATTCAGCCAAGCTGTAATCCTTACTGGTCTCCGAGTGGGACCCATAATTTGTTACAATCGTGCTCTTGTATCTGCTGCTGTTTTTAATTCCCAATCTTCATCTACTGAATTTCTAGTCATTCTCCATGGCCCAAATCCATTACTTTCTCTTCCATGAAGCTTTCCCTGATCACTCTTCTTAGAATTGATCTTGGCTAGGGGCAGTGGCTCACACCTGTAATCCCAGCACTTTGGGAAGCAGAGGTGGGCAGGAGTTCAAGACCAGCCTGACCAACCTGGAGAAACCCTGTCTCTACTAAAAATACAAAATTAGCTGGGCATGGTGGCGCATGCCTGTAATCCCAGCTACTCAGGAGGCTGAGGCAGGAGGATCGCTTGAACCCGAAAGGCAGAGGTTGCAGTGAGCCGAGATCGCACCATTGCACTCCAGCCTGGGCAACAAGAGCGAAACTCAAAAAGAAAAAAAGAAAAAAGATCAGCCTGGCCAACATGGTGAAACCCCATCTCTACAAAAATACAAAAATTAGCCAGGCATGATGATGGGCGCCTGTAATCCAAGCCACTCAGGAGGCTGAGGCGGTAGAATAGCTTGAACCCAGAAGGCAGAGGTTGCAGTGAGCCGAGATTGCGCCATTGCACTCTAGCCTGGGCAACAGAGTGAGACTCTGTCTCAAAAAAAAAAAAAAGAAAGAAAGAAACAAGGAAAAGAAAAGAAAAAAAGAAGTGATTTCTGCTGGGCACAGTGGCTCACACCTGTAATCCCGGCACTTTGGGAGGCCAAGGCGGGAGGATCACTTGAGGTCAGGAGTTCGAGACCAACTTGGTCAACATGGTAAACCCCATCTGTACTAAAAATACAAAAATTAGCTGGGCATGGTGGTGGGTACCTGTAATCCCAGCTACTTAGGAGGCTGAGGCAGGAGAATTGCTTGAACCCGGGAGGCAAAGGTTGCAGTGAGCTGATATTGCACCACTGCACTCTAGCCTGGGCAACAGAGTGAGACTATGTCTCAAAAAAATAAAAAGAAAAAAAAAGAAGTGATCTCTTTGCTCTGAACTCCTGGATTTTGTATGTATTTAATTTTTTTTATTATATGTTAGATTACGTCTCAAAAAAAGTGATCTCTTTGCTCTGAACTGAATTTGGTATGTATTTAATGTTTTTTATTATATGTTTTATGTTATATTATATATTATATATATTAATATATATTATATGTTAATTAACATATAATATATAATATTATATGTTAATTAACATATAATATATAATATTATATGTTAATTAACATATAATATATAATATTATATATAATATAATATATATAATATATAATATTATATATAATATAATATATATAATATAATATATAATATATTATTTTATTTCATGATTACATCATGAGGATGCAGAGATCAGATTGCAAGCTCTTTTAAGGCACAGATTATAAATTACCCATTTTTGTATCAGTTCTCCACTACAGAACCCAGCACAATTCCATATATGTCTATACAGCTCAGCTTTATTGGGATATAACTCACATACCATACAATTCACCCATTTAAAATGTACAATTCAATGGATTTTTAGTATATTTAGAGTTGTGTACCCTAACCACAATCAATTTTAAAACACTTTAATTTTAATTAATTTTAATTTTTTTGAGACAGGGTCTCACTCTGTCGCTGAGTCTGGAATGCAGTGGCACAAGCATAGCTCACTGCACCCTTGATCTACCAAGCTCAAGTGATTTTCCAGCCTCAGACTCCCAAGTAGCTGGGACTATAAGCATATGCCACCATGTCTGGCTAAGTTTTTAATTTTTTTTAATTTTTCCTTGAGATGGTGTTGTGTTCTGTCGCCAGGCTGGAGTGCAGTGGTGCGATCCTGGCTCACTGCTATCTCCACCTCTGCCTCTTGGGTTCAAGGGATTCCCCTGCCTCATCTTCCCCAGTAGCTGGGACTACAGGCACACACCACTATGCCCAACTAATTTTTTTTTGTATTTTAGTAGAGACGAGGTTTCACCATGTTGGCCAGGATGTTTTTTTTTTTCTTTTTTAGACAGAGTCTCGCGGGAGTGCAATGGCGCGATCTCAGCTCACTGCAACCTCCACCTCCTGGGTTCAAGCGATTCTTCTGCCTCAGGCTCCCAAGTAGCTGGGATTACAGGCACCCGCCACCATGCCCGGCTAATTTTTTGTATTTTTAGTAGAGACAGGGTTTCACCACGTTGGCCAGGCTGGTCTCAAATCCCTGGCCTCAAGCGATCCTCTGCCTTGACTTCCCAAAGTGCTGGGATTACAGGCAGGAGCCACCTTGCCTGGTCTACACTGTTGTTGCTGTTGTTTTGTGAATGGGAAGCAAGATACTTCTTATATGGCAGAGTGAGAGGGAGTGAGAGAGTGGGAGACAGGGAGGGGGAAGGGGAGAGGTGGAAAGAGGAGGGAGGAGGGAGGAGGTGGGGAGAGGGGTAGTCTGGCCTACTACATTTTTAGCATCCCAAAAAGAAACCCCACACATTAGCAGTCAATCCCTACTTCTCCCTAGTCCTCAGTTCTAGGCAACCATTAATCTACTTTCCATCTCTATCAATTTGCCTATTCTGGACATTTCATATAAACGGAATCATCCATTATTTGTCCTGTTGGGTCTGACTTCTTTCATTTAGCATAATGTTTTCAAGATTCATCCATGTTGTATCGTGCATCAGTACTTCATTCCTTTTGATGGCTGAATAACAGTCTATGTATGGCTGTATCACATTTTGTTTATCCATCCACCAACTGATGAATATTTGAGTTGTTTCCACTTTTTGGCTATTGTGAATAGTGCTGCTATGAATATTTGAGTACAAGTTTTTATGTGGACATATGTTTTCATTTCTTGTTTATGTACCTAAGAGCGGAATTGCTGGGTCATATGGCAACTCTGTGTTTAACATTTCGAGGAACTGCCAAGCTATTTTTCAAAGTGGCTGCATCATTGTACATTCTCACCAGCAATGTATGAAGGTTTCAATTTCTCCATACTCTCTTCAACACTTATTGTCTGTTTTTTTATTATAAACATCCTAGTGGGTGTGAAGTGGCATCTCATCATGGTTTAGATAGCATGACTCCTGAACAGCTGGTTTGACTGCCAAGTTTATTAATTAGCTAGAAATGAGAAACACAGGGCCCAGCATCATGATACTCCAATTTTGAAAATATAACATGTAATAGGCTGGGCACAATGGCTTACACCTGTAATCCCAGCAATTTGGGAGGCCAAGGTGGGAGAATCACTTGAGCCCTAGAGCCTGAGACCAGCCTGGGCAACATAGCAAGACCTCCTCTCTACTAAAACTTTTAAAATTAACTAGATGTGGTGACATGCACTGTAGTCCCACCTACTTGGGAGGCTAAAGGTGGAGGATCACTTGAGACCAGGAATTCAAAGCTGCAGTGAGTTGTGATCCCACCACTGAACTCCAGCCCGGGCAACAGAGTGATGCTCTGTCTCCAAAAAAAAAAAAAAATTAAAAAAAGTTGTAGTAAAACTGTTTTCAATCTTTTTTGTTGCCAGTATTTTCTAGATGGCATTATACAGGTGGCAATTTGTCATGAAAATTCATATAGCATTGGAGATTTGCTAAATTATGCATAAAATTCCAATTTTGATATTTTTCCTATTCAAAACTTATCCCTGAATGGGGAGACCAGGAAAGGCTAGCTCCTGAATCAGAGACAAAGTGAGTAAATAAAGTAGCATTCCCCACAGGGCCCTTCCTCTGCCCTCATTGGAACACATTACAACTTAGAAACACAAGACACCTATTCTATGATGGCAATGTGAACTATTATTCCTGTCTAGAGACCTGCCCATCTCCTCCACGACTGGCCTGTCTTCAAAAAAGCATTTGATAATACATTTGGGGGCGGCGGGGTTGGGGGAGGCTCAGAAAAATGCAACCGCTAAAATTTCTCTGGATGGAGTTTTCTTCAGTAAACAGTAGACCCTGGGAAACATAACAGGTTCCGAAAACTTAATTTTGATGACTGAAAGTCAGAGAAACAGCCAGCTGAATCAGCTCCTTCTTGGGCAGTGGTTTAGCCTACTTATCTCATATCAGACCTAAGGGTCCAGCTGCTTTTCCTTGGTTCTAAAGAGTTCTATTCTGGCCAGGACCCATCCCGAGACAGACACTTCTGTCTGCAGCCCTGAAAACTAGAGGTCAATGGAAGGGCTCAAATTAAAGGCCCACAGTTGGGCTTACAACTCTCCATGGTGTTCAAGCCTTCTCAGAGGAGCTGGTGTGGTGGAGCCAGGGTCAAAGGTCATAGTAAATAGAAAGTAGCCAGCTTTCTGCCTGCATAACATCATCTTGCCTAACCAGACTCAAACGCTTAATTCTACTGTAGTATTCTTTGGACATTCTTCTTTAGAACTACGGGGGCGGGGGGGGGGGGGCGTGTTTATTTTCAACAACCACAATCATCCTTATCTTTCTGAAGATGTTTCCAAAGGCTGAGAACAGACCCCTTTCAGAACCTCGGTAGGAGAAGTATTAACAGTTGGAAACATGTCAGCTGCTTTATGGAGGAAGCACAGCCCAGGCCTGGTTTCTCTGGGCTCCGTGATAACTTGGGGCAAGGCAGCCAGTGCGAAGCGTGGTGGCAGGAGCTGGAGAGATGGAGAGCGGCTCGGAGAAGGGCCCCTGCTTTTCAGAGTTGAAACAGGAGCCCTCTGAGAGAAAGAGATACTGCGTGTGGCTTCTCTGAAGCCTTGGAGGGCGACGTGGATGACACAGCATCAGCCATTCCATCGCGGGGTGGGGACACAGTGGCGGCAGGAACCGTCCTCAGCCCCTGGCGGCCACGGCAGTTCCCCGCTGAAGCATCCTTTGTGGGGTGTGGGTAAGGGAGGGGGACCAAAGTCGGGTCGGAGTTGAGTTTGTTAGACGGCGAGCACACTCAGGGCGGCAGCCCGAGTAAGAAGGATGGCCCCGGGAGAGAAACGGCTCGAAGCTAGGGGCGGGGTGAAGCGCCTGCTCCTTAATCTCCTGCCCCATCATCCACTCGCCCCACCTGGATGCAGAGCGAGGACCGCGTGGAAAGGAAACGGCGCGGGCGGGGCTCCCCCTCGCAGATGCCTCGGAGACCCAGAGGGGCGGCGTCAGGCCAGGGCCCCGAGCCCTACGCCCCCCATCCCCCCAACTCCAGCGCCTCTGAGGTGCCCCTCTCGCAATTCCGAGGCATCACCGTGTCTCCCCCGCCTCCGTTAAAATAGTGAAACTGCGGAGTGAAGTGATGGAAAGCCGGGGGCGGGGAGTCGCCCGCGGCGAGGGGCTGCAGGGGAGGGGGCGCGGTGGCCGAATAAGGTGGCCCGCGAGCAACGGGACGATTGGGATCGCAGCCAGTCGCGGCCTCCCGGACCCTTCCCCTCGGGCAGCCCGGCCCTCCCATGGCCCGGGGCGCCTTGGGAGGGCGTAGGGCAAACCTGGGGCTGCGGTGGGGGGTGGGGAGGGGACTCCACCTCCATCCATCCCGGGATGGCAACTGCGGTCACCCTGCTAAAGTCGGGGCGGGGGCGGCGGTCCTCCCCCTCACCCCCCCCAGTCCGAGCGCCGCCGCCGCCGCCGCCGCCGCCGCCGCGGCCGCTCAGTAACACGTCCCCAGGAGACTCGCAGGAGCAACACGTGATGTGTCTACTTATCAGGGTGAGAGGGGGAGAGCGAGACTCCGAGCGTGCGGGCGAGGAAGCTGGGCGGGGGGCCGAGACGGGGGCCGGGACGACGGCTGGGGCGCCGGGGTCGCCAGCTCCTCGCCCACCTCCCTCCCTGTGGGAGAAGAGGAGGAGGGGAAGTGACTGCGGAGTTGATGAACTTTGCACATCCAGAAACGCCATTTTGATTCCTTTTCCGGAACAAGTTTGCATCTCTCCTCGGTCTCTCCCTGAAGCCCACCGGTCCCCAACGCATCATGCCAGGGAGCCAAGCGTCCTGCCCGGCCGTAAGTACGTGCCCCGGATTCCGACTCGCGGTACGCCGGCGGCAGCGAGAAGTCTGGGGCACAGCCGGAGCGACCTTTTAAAGAACTTTGGGGATGGGGAGGGTGAAGTCTGCAGAGCGCGTTGTACTTTTGAAACTCGGTGTGTCCCGGAGCCGGGGACCCGCACGCCCCACTCCGCGCAGCGTGCGCTCGGGCCGGCGGGGCGGCCAGGGATGAGCGGGGCAGCCCTCTCCCCTCGGGCTGCGCGCCGGGCCATTCCTCCTCCTCCTCCTCCTCCTCCCCTTCCTCCGCTCTTTTCCCTTTCCCGAGCCGCCGGCTCTGCCAACCAGCTCCCAGCGCGAGCCGCCGCAGCGCCCCGCCAGCAGGACCTGATGCGCATCCATATTAGCCGTCCGAGCGCAGGAATCCGGCCCGACCCGCGCCGCCGAGTTTATTTTTAACCAGCACCGCCGGGACTCGGATGGTGCGCGCACCGCCGGCCAGAAACATCTTCCCAGCGCTGCTCTCCATCTTCCGCCCTCTCTCCCTCGACATCCTCCCCCCCATGTGGGAGGGGAAACTTTTCTCCTACATACTTTCGAGTCCTTCTCGGGCCGGGAAGCGCGGAGATGACGGCGCCCGCCCTCCCGCCGCCGCCCTAAGGTATCCGGGGGTGCCTGCCCGGGGTGCTCGCGCGGGGGTGCCTGCTCGGGGCTGCTCGGTGGGAGCATCCGCCGCGCCCTGCTCTGCGGACTTTGAACCTCCCGGGCGGACGGCGCCGGCCGGGAGGGGGCCGCGGGCAGCCCCGCGCCCTCGCGGGTTCCCGGCTGGCGGTCGTGGTCACGCCGACCACCGCCCCGGGGGGCCTGGGGAGGAGGGGACCGGGCCCTAGCCGTGCGGGCACGTATTGTTCCCTCGCCCTTCCGTTGGCGGGGTGAGTGTTTTCGTGGGAGCCCTCGGTGTGGAGCTAGCCTGCCTCGCGGGCGGGGGGGGTGGGGGGCTCGGCGCCGTCACGAGCACAGGAAGGAGGCCGGGAGCATCCGAGGCGGGGCCGGCCGCCGGGGCCCGCTCCGCCGCCCAGCTGTGGAGCGCGCTCGGAAACTTTTGTCCGCCGCCCGCTGGACCAGTTTTTCACGAGTTCTGGGGCTTCCCTTCCTCCTCCCATCCCGGCCCCCGGCGTCTAGCTGGGTGGGGGGAGGGGGCCTGTTGCTGCCCCCCCCGCCCCCAACTTCCCGCACAAGCCTTGGGCCGGGCCCCCCGCGCCCCCTCCCCGCTCGCGGTCTCTTAGGAAACTGCGACCTTAATGGTTGCTAAGGAGCAGGGGAGGTCCTTCCCGTCGCCGACCCCCTCCCTGGGAAGCGGCGTGTTTTCTGGACCGGGCCAAGGGCGCGTCGAGGATGTGACCTGCTCCGCGGCCGCGCGTGAGTGCGGGGCGCGTCGGCCGAGCCCACCGATGGGCGAGGCCACCTTTCTCTCCGGGCGGGGCGGGGAGCTGGGGGACGCGGGGACCCCACGGGGTGCGGGCCCGGGCCGCTTGACAGGCGCCGCGTGCAGCTCGCGCCCCTCGGCCGCCGTGCATCCGTGATGGGTTATAAAAGAGGAGGAAAGTATTTCTCCTTGCTCAGCAGATTTGCCCTCCCTCGCTCCTTACTGGTTAGGAGATAGAACGTGAGCCCAGATCCGGACGAGCAGTTCACATTCCATTACGAAATTCTACACGGCTTCAGAGCCAGCAGCAGCACACATTCGGGGCACTTTGGAGGGGTTTTCTTCGTTTGAGGATGCTCCTGCTGCTGCTGCTTGTGATGGTGGTGGATGTGGAGAGAGACAAAAGGGTGAATAAAAAAATATAACGTTTTGGTATGTTGAAAAACCTGTCCGGGGGTTTTCATTAGTAGAAAATTGAACCCTCTTAGAGTTTAGATTTAAGCTTAGCTCTTTAAAAGCCAGTGGAAATAAAGTTTGCCTGTTGAATGGTGTTGCTGGAAATAGCGAGGAATTTCTGTCTTAAGAAGAAATGATTTCTGCAAAGGCAGAGTTGCTAGTGCATCTCCATTATTTTTGATATTTTTTTTCCCCTTTATATATGTAGTGGACCCTGCATGTGTGCGAGTTGATTCTGAAATAAGTTTAATTGAAGTGGAAGGTGGGGAAAAGAGAACTGCCAAGAAAAGAATGTGGTTTAGTTTTGTTTTTTCACACCCATGAAAATCATCCTCTAGATTTGGTGCTTTTTCAAGTAGGCAGGTATAGTTTCTAAGACATATTTCAACCCGGAAGTCTGAGTTAGATAGAGGCCAAAGTGTTGGCTAAAACCTCTTTGAAAAACAAACGTTGAGTTTTGTGCTATCTTCAAGAGTCCACAGAACTTCTGAAGGAATGGGTTCGAGCTACTCTACAAGTAATTTATACAAAGACAGAATCACTAATTTTAGGGGTGGTGTGTGTGTGTGTGTGTATGTGTTTACCTCCGCCCTTTGGAGGGAGCCTTCTGGGTACCCGCTGATGGGTCCTGCTTTGATGTGCTTTGAGCTTTGGTTACACTGATGAATTAAACATTTGAATGGCTTTAATCAAGTTTTAAATGTGTTAAAAAAATACCTTTCCCCCATTTTTACAAAAGAAAAGGAGAGAAGAACTCTTTGATTTAGTTATTTGCTTAGCTTGTGCTCCATTTTAGGTTAATGAACTTGCATTGTCTTTGTCTTAAAAATACTGCTAAACTGGTTGCATTTTAGAATGTCTTGTTTTTAAAGAGGATTTGCTGGATGTGTAATACTCTTAAGAAATGCTGCCGATGCTTACCGTTTTGTGGAATATCATTCTCTGGGTTTTTCTAGATACTGCTTTATTTCTCATCAGAAAATCAGACTCTAAGCCCTTATGGCAGACAAGTATTTGTTATGTGATGGGGAACATGCGTCTTATTGAGCTGGTACAGGTAGTGCATCCATTCCTAACTAGTTACATCATCCAACAAGCGACCTTTTGATTGAAGGGTCTTTTAAATTTCTTCGGGCAGACTCCCAAGGCCTTATTTGTATCCAACACAGGTACAGCGTGTTGAAGGAAGAAAATAAACCTACACGTATTAGTCCAGCATCTGATCAACAGCAGTTTATTGGTTACCTGCTGTGTGCCAGGCACTGTACAGTGTAGCTGCCTTAGGTCGTTTTTGCTCTTCAATTTTGAACTGTTGCGTTATTCCACTTCTGAGGTCAGTTAGGAAGTCTTTGCTTGCTATCTTATGCTTGCTTGCTAACATCATTTATCACCTTCAGCTAAGGAAATGTCCTAGTTAATGAAGTTTTAAAATGCTACCCTTTTAGGATTTTGCTCAGCATAATTAATATAAATTTAACTCCTATAAGAATTGGTTAAATATATTCTTTGGAAACAGAAGTGAATTCTTTTGATGTTTCTGTTCATTATCCTTCTGAAAAGTAGGTGGTGCTTAGAAGGTCATAGGATAAGGGTTGCTAAGCAGCTAAACAGAAGGATGCTAAAATTAACCAAAGCATTTTTGAAAGGGAGTCATTCCCTGTTTTACATTATTTACTAGGTTTAGTTAATTTCTGAATCTTCTATGTCCTTTGACCTGGGAAGGTAGGATGTTAAAGTTTGTTTTGGTTTTGTTATTATATTTAAATAATCTCTTTCTTTTGTAAGTGTCTTTAATTGAAGTTCAGTACTCTATGACCAGCCTTGTGGTGTCAGATGGCAGCTTGTCTGGTGGACTTCTTGACTATTACCAGTGTGTTCAGGTTGAACCTTCCTGAGGATTTGTGTGTATAGTACCCTCTTATTTCTAGTATTAATAACTGATTCCATGGTTTGTTTTGGAAATTCTGCATAATCCATAAAGTTATGTCTTTTATTCCGCATGAAACAGATTTGTATTCAAAGATAGAAATGCAATTTAGTATCAGTAGAAAGTATGCAATGTAGTCTGTCCTGATAAGGGGACAATAGCTTTCTTTCCCCCTTTACTGAGATTACCATTCCCTTAGATTAGGTTTTGATAGGGCTTCTCCTCCATTTCATTCCACCTCCCTAGTGCAGTTTATTCCGCCCAGTTCATAGCTATCTTTTTAAAAATAATTATATTAGGTTCAGAGTATCTTTGGAAGGACTGGCCAAATGTCAGAAAACAAAAATAGGTGTGATGTACATTACATTTCTGCCAAAAGTATGTTCAAGTATCTTGAAGTTTTTCATTGAGATAAAATGGTTGAAATCTAATTGAAGCCATGATGAGTAACTATCATCTCTTGGTTGAATGGTAAGCCTGTTGTAAGCCAAAAGTTTCCCTGCTTCAAGGTTAATTTCTGTACATCTGACCTATTGAACAGGCAGTGTTGAGTCATATTTTTTATGTCCAAATATAATTAAGAAATTGATAAATGTATTTTCTTTCTGTTTCTTTTCTCTCTTTCTTTCCTGATTTAGACAGTGATTTTTGAGTAGAAGTAGCCATGGCAGTTTTCAAAGAGCAAGGGTCAGACAGTGATTTCCACAGGGGGGTGAGGGTTGCAGGGTTGCAGGTACCTTATATCAAAGGTAAAAGGTACACCGTATGAAACCCAGAGGGAGGCATACGGTGTGCTCTCTGAAATGCATCACTTATTTTTCATTTCCCCCACTCCCATAGAAGGCAGAATACAGAAAAGAAAACTACTGTTGTTTTCATTACTACGGAGGTAAAAGAATGAGGAAGGTGGAGAGGGGTTTTTCCTTTTTTGTTAGCAGTCCTGTCGGCAATGTCATCGACTGTGCTCCGCCCAATTTCTCTTGTCACGTTCTCTGGTGTTCAGCGTGGTCTGAACTGCAGCCGAGTGTAGCTGGGGATTGCACTCTGCCGTTGGCAGTGGCGGGTTGGGGTGAAGCGGATGGGGAGGAGGAGACTGGGAGCGATCGGTGCATCTTATTTCTGGTGGGACTTCAAGGGTACTGAAGTTAGCCAGTCTGCCCATCAGTAGAGGTGGCTGACTGTGAGTAGGTGCTTCAGACGAAAGCATGGGAGAGGGTGGAGATTGTTTGTTCAGTGTGATTCAAGCCAGTAAAGCTAAGAGAATTCGAAAACCTCTGTGAAGTCCGGGGACTGGGGACTGGGTCCTGACTGCTCCTGCAGGGATTCACCTGAGGGCTTGCAGACATCATGAGGGTGGGTGGAGAAAGAGAATGAAAACCCCCACAGGCATTGTCAGACAGCCAGAGTGAAGAGAAAACGTCTCAGTGGGGGTAATTAGATAAAGCTTTTAAATGCTCTATTTGTTTTTCTCTAGTTTGCTTGGTATTTCATCTCTTTCCCCCTTTTCAGAGACTATGGGATAGAATTGTTATGAAAGTGTCTGATACTTCTGGTGGTTTAATCACTTTAAAATTTTTCTTTTTCATTCAGATATACCTTCTAGGACTTAGTTAATTTCACCCTGCTTTTGTGGAGGCCTTTAGCAAAGATTCCACGTTCATGCTGAGAGGAACACTGTGGGAGTTGGGTGGGTATGTTGACCCATTTTACAGCTGCGCGGTGGTCCACCCGGGGGCTGTTAATGAATCAAACTTGGAACCCAGAACTCCTAACTCCAGCCTAGCCCTGTAGAACAGCTGCTTTTTAGAGTCAGTTTGACCTCAGGAGGACTTAGCAGCATTAAATATATACTGCCTATTTATCTCCATGTGTATGGTGTGTGGTTTTTAAATAAGACCAGATCCTTTTCAAAATAAACCTAATTGAGTTTGAAGGTATAAGGAAATTTTAAAAAGCACTTCTGCTCTTGGTAGCATTTCTGTTGATGAACTGTGATGACATGTATCTTTTTAGTAGCCTTTCTACCTCATGAGATTGTTGTAAGGATAAAGTAGATGTTCCAGAAAGTCAAAATCTATAAACGGAAGAAAGTGGTATATTTTGAGCTCAGGAAGCTTTGTGGGTATCCATTCTGGATTTCCTTTCCAGAATTTTGCACACCTCCATTACCTTAGTCAAATTTTGCCTAGGAGTTTATGTTCAGATTGGGGAAATGCAGCACTTTGTTTTTGTTTTTAGTGCTGGGAGACTAACAGGACTAGCAAATTCTTCTTAATGTGGTTCACTTAGGTGAGGCAGAGTCTTGCTGTCGCCCAGGATGGAGTGCAGTGGCACAATCTTGCCTGTCTGCAACCTCCACCTCCAGGGTTCAAGCGATTCTCCTGCCTCAGTCTCCTGAGCAGGTGGGACTACAGGCACACACCACCACGCCCAGCTAATTTTTGTATTTTTAGTAGTAACAGGGTTTCACCATGTTGATCAGGGTGAGGGATGAGTTTTAAGGAAAAAGCTGATGACAAGCTTGGGGCTTACTCTTTGAAGAAGTGGTTCTCAACCTGGTGGGTTTGCCCCCAGGGGACTTTTGGCACTGTCTGGAGACATTTTTAAGTGTTTCTGGTGGGGGGGGGGGCGGCAGCGGGGAGCTGCTACTGGCCTTTAGTGCATAGACCCCAAAGATGCTGTTCCACATCTTGGAGTGCACAGAACGACCCCCATACGTCAGCAGAGCTGAGGTTGAGAAAGCCTGCTTGAAAGGTACAGTAGTCGTGGCCTGGGTCTCATCTACAAGTCCACTGGGTGCGCTGCCTGTATTGCATGCGATATATTTAGAAATCTGAAATTCCATAAAGCAAGTAAGCTCTTATTTGCCTCTGAGGTACCATGGTTGGCAAGTTCGAAGTTTCACAGAAAATTTGGGGTTGAGGAAAATGTTAAGTGGCATTAAATATATTTGAAAACCCCGTAGTAAATGAAAATTCTAGAAGTCATCTACTTCTAAAACAAACTAGATTCATTGGCTTTGTGAAGCTGTTGTGGTCGATGGCTCAGCTTTCCCAGTCACCTCTTCAGTTATTTGGGAAACTTGCTCTGGTGCTGTCATCTGCAGCCTCCTTCATGTTCTAAGTTATGTGGAGTATACCTTTTTTTTTTTTTAAGTGTTTGAACTAGCCCTTACTTGCTTAACAGTTAATGTTTTTGCATTCGTAGTCTCCCTTGTTTTATTTTCTCAAGTTTTTGCAAAATTCTTACATAACCGTCTGCCGTTTTTATAGGGCAGTGTTTCTGAGCCGGGTGCTCTGTCCATACATCTCCTCTTGAGAGGGTGGATGGCTGCCAGCTGCTGTGGTTGGGAGGGATAGGGAGGGAGTAAGGGGATGCAGGGTAGGAGGCGGTGATTATTTTTATGTTAAGGGACCCCAGGCCTCAGACCAGAAATGTCTAATATAGTGTCAGGAGTGATCTTTTAGCCAGCAAGTGTTAACTGATCTGACCCTTGGCCTTCCCCCCCACCCCCCAGCCTATCACACAGACAGGAGGTAAGGAAACCATAGAGGGGAGAAGAAAACAGGGAGACAGAGATCGAATTCCAGAAAAGGAAGGGCTGCCAGTGGTAGGCAGAGTCACCCCTAGAGTGGCCTGGGCTCCCACTTTATAGACATGTGCAATACTTGAAGATAGCTCTTTTTACATCTAAACCAGCGGTTAGTCAGTGTCCCATTGGTGTCAGTCGCACTGATGGTGCTCAGGGCCATTGCTCTGCAGCCACCTTTGCAGTCCCATACGTGGTAACGAGTCCTGTTCCTGCAGAACGCACTCTGCGTTCTGGTGCTTTTCTGTCTTCTCGTCTAACCTATAAACTGCCAACTCCCAACTCTATATCTCCATTTACAACTTCTCCCAAGCTTGAACCTTTTGTCACCCTGATCACCCTGCAAGTACCTTACCCTGCAGGTACTTGTAAAAATGAAAGTCCTCTCCCTTCCTTCTGGAAGGTGATCACCATCCACCCAGCCTTCTAGGCCAGGAGTCTTACTGCCGTCCTGACGTATGTCTGTCCTGCCCCAATGTTCGATCAGTCACCAGGCCCTCTGCAAAACCACACTCCAGTCTGGCCCTGGCATTGGCTGTTCTATCGTTTCTGACCTAAGGCCCTCATCAAGTCACAAACGCCTCCCAAGTTAATTTCCTGCCACCAGTTTCTCCTTACTGCAGTTCATCCTCCACTCTGCTGCCAGAATCATCAGAACTAAAGCCGTGCGTGGTGTTTGCCTGCTTAAAAACATCTCTTGGCTCTCTGTTGTCTACAGGAAGAAATCCAAACTCCTTAACTTGGCATACAAGGAACTTCGTCTGCTTCCAAGCTGAATTTCTAGTCTCAGCTCTTGTCACTCTCTTCTACCCCACTGCCACACTGAATTGATTCTTACTGCCTCCTGTTGCCTGGATTGTTCATTCTGTTGCATCCCCATCCCCTTCCTTCAGCAATAAAAATTTTGTACTCTTTTTTTCAAGACCCAGCTTAAATACTACCTCTTCTATGGAGAATTAGCTCTTCTGTTGTGAGTAACTTTTACCCCCATCTGTCAAGTCTTGTCTGTTGTAATTTATCTCTTAACATGTTTCTCTCACTTCAAGAATATTTTCCCATCTCCTGCACCTAGAACGATTGCATAGTTGGTGCTCACTCACCACTGTGTGTTGATTTCTGATACAAAAATGAGAGTTTCTGAAGATTTTGGAGAATAGCCACATGTAATTTGGAAGCTAAGGCCTAAATAGTGCTACAAATTCAATGAAGGAAATAGACATGAACTAACGATTTCAGCATACCCATCATGCAGAAGGTGGTGCTAGGTGGGAAAGAATTAAGTTCTTTGGTGGGAAAGAATTTTGAATTACAGAAATTCTAAAATAAAAGTTGGCTCAGCTTAATGTAAAAGTGAAAAAAACTCCTTGTTAATGCCTGGTTGCACTAAAAGCTGTCACACTGGGGCCTTTACTAATTATAACCATTTTTCATGGCTCTTGATTTGAAGTTTACATTAAATAGGAGAGATGGGCACACAGATCAAAGACCAAAATCATTTCAGAGCTCCAATGTGTGGGCCCATTTTCTCTGCTTAGTTAGAGTTTTGTTTCATTAGTGGTATGAGTTAATAGGAGTGTTGGTCTGTGTATAATTTAGCTTCTCTTTTTTCCATTACTCGTAGGATTCAAAACAGAATACCAAGCCAGAAATCTACAGGGTATAAATCTTGCTTTATGTGTTTGTATGTGTCTGTGTATGTGCAGTATACACGTGGTAATAGTTGATTTTAGATCATATTTATAAAAATAATCATTTTCACTGTTTTAAGGGAGCTCCCTTTATTCTGACACTTCAGTGTAAAAAACAAAACATTTCTCTGAATATACAAAATCAAAATCTTAATTTTCTCATAAAAGAGGTAGATATGTCTTCAGAAATAGGGGAGATAACCAGGAAGATGGGGTGGGTGTTCTGAAACACAAAGGTGAACCATGTGAATAGGTTTCCTGTTTTTTTTTTTTTTTTTTTTTTTTTTTTTTTTTTTTTGAGACGAAGTGTTTTACTCTTGTCACCGAGGCTGGAGTGCAATGGCGCAGTCTTGGCTCACTGCAACCTCCGCCTCCCAGGTTCAAGCGATTCTCTTAGCCTCCCGAGTAGCTGGGATTACAGGCGCCTACCACCACACCCAGCTAATTTTTGTATTTTTTTTAGTAGAGATGGGGTTTCACCATGTTGGCCAGGCTGGTCTTGAACTCCTGACCTCAGGTGATCTGCCCACCTTGGACTCCCAGAGTGCTGGGATTACAGGCATGAGCCACCGCGCCCCACCAGATTTCCTTTTTAAACAATGAATTTTTATTTTTTATTTTTTTGGAGACAGGGTCTCTCTATGTTGCTCATGCTGGTCTCAAATTCCTAAACTCCTGGGATGGAGCAGTCCTCCTACCTCAGCCTCCCAAAGTGTTGAGATTACAGGTATGAGGTATGAGC
This sequence comes from Homo sapiens, assembly GCF_000001405.40. NCBI lineage: Eukaryota > Metazoa > Chordata > Mammalia > Primates > Hominidae > Homo > Homo sapiens. The sequence goes on from NC_000006.12 coordinate 7,117,870, forward strand.
CACTGAGCCTGACATGAATTTAAAAAAGCAAAAAGAAGAAAATGACATAGTGTGTGGAAGTTCTTGGTATTTTTTATACAAGATGAAATCCTGGTTGATTAAAAATATATTACTATAAATATTTTTTAACAAGTGCTTATCTGCTAACTAGAGTTTAGGCTCAGATTTGGCAGATACATTCAGATATAATATTCTAACGTAGTTTTATTTATCAGGAGGCTCATATATTTTCCTCTTCAATACAGAAAATAGTTTTTTGTTTTCTTTTTGAGACAGAGTCTTGCACTATCTCCCAGGCTGGAGTGCAGGGGTGGAATCTCAGCTCACTGCAACCTCCACATCTTGGATTCAAGCGATTCTCCCACCTCAGCCTCCTGAGTAGCTGGGATTACAGGCGCATGCCACCACACCTGGCTAATTTTTGTATTTTTAGTAGAAACAGAGTTTCACTATGTTGGCCAGGCTGGTCTCAAACTCCCAACCTCATGTGATCTGCCCGCCTTGGCCTCCCAAAGTGCTGGGATTACAGGTGTGAGCCACCGCTCCCGCCCAGAAAATAGGTTATTTTAAAGTCAGTTTTTCCTTTGCTTTAGGAATTTTAAATGTTTTGGAGGATAATTTTATAAAACTAGTGAACATCTCAAACAGGTTTTCTATGGCTTGGTTAGTTAAATCTGTATGTATTTGGCTAAAGTGTTCTATTAAAAGTTTAAAACCAAGTATAGTTTAAAGGAGGCTTAACTTGCGTGTCTCTGAATTTGATTTGTATTTAAATCATGAAAAGAAGGTTTCTGAGAACCATTTGTTCAAAAGCTTAATAAGGCTTCACAACCTCCTGTCCTGGAGTGTGATTCAGTATGAGATTTAGCGTCCTTTTGAAAATAGTCAGTTTTTCACCACCAAATTTGCCAATCCCATGGTGTTTTTTTTAATTTTTTTTTTTTTTTTTTTTTTTTTTTTTTAGAGACAGGGTTTCACCATGTTAGCCAGGCTGGTCTCAAACTGCTGACCTCAGGTGGTGCACTCACCTCGGCCTCCCAAAGTGATGGGATTACAAGCGTGAGCCACTGCACCTGGCCTCCCATGGTGTTATTATTTTTTTAACATTTACAGATTTTTATTGATTCAATACATATTTGAATATCCACTATGCAAGGCTACTGTGTTAAGCACCAAGTTTACTGGTATGGGAAAGATAGTTGAAAGCCTCGTAGAGGATATATTGCATCAAAAGAAATGGCAGGCGTGGTGGTTCACGCCTGTAATCCCAGCACTTTGGGAGACCAGCCTGGCTAGTATGGTGAAACCCCATCTTTACTAAAAACACAAAAATTAGCTGGGCGTAGTGGCGGGCGTCTGTAATCCCAACTACTCAGGAGGCTGAGGCAGGAGAATCGCTTGAACCCTGGAGGCAGAGGTTGAATGAGCTGAGATCGTGCTACTGCGTTCCAGCTCGGGTGACAGAGCGAGACTCCATCTCAAAAAAAAAGAAAAGGACACGTGTTCAGCAACTAAGAAGTCATTTTTATATACACGTGCTAAGTGCCACCAGTGTGTGGCCTTTGTGTGTGGGGGAGGAGTGAAAGATGCTGGGAGGCCGGTCAAGGAAGGCACCTTGTGGAAGTGACATTTGAGCTAATAGCTGAAGGATGGGTGAGAGGAAAGAAAAAGCGTCAGAAAACGGCTTGTACAAAGACCCTGAGGTTGGAGAGAGGTGTGCGTCCAGGAAAATGAGAAAAGCACAGTGTTTGGAGGAAGACAAGACACAGAACCAGTGAATTACAGGGATGGTGCGGTAGATAAGGGCTAGAGCAGGCTGCTAGGAACTCTGGGAAGCTACGAAAAGTGTTAGGCCAGATTAGCATGATGAGATTTGCATTTTTAAAGATTATTCCTACCCAGAGTTGAGAATAGACCTGGCTAGAAGGAAGCAACTGTTTGCCTTCTGTTTGGAAGAATGTCAGTTAGAACGCTAGTTTTTGAAACTTTGAAAACCGGTGGTGGCAGTAGAAAAAGGGAGCTTAGAAGGATTTGATAAAGGTTTAAGAGGTGGGAGGGGCTTGGCGATGAGGAAGGGTCGTGGAAGGGAGACATGACTTCCTGGTCTCTGGCTTTTGCAGCTGAGTGGATGATGATGCCTCTGACAGTGAAACGCTGGATTAGTCAGGGTTTACGAACAAGGTGTGTTCTCTACCTTTTAAAGAGCTATATTTATGTCCCCACCCCCACCCCCCGCCCGCCTTTTTTAGCTATTTCTTTACTTGCACTGTGTTTTAGTTGATTAAAAATTATGTACCTAGGCCGGGCGTGGTGGCTCATGCCTCTCATCCCAGCAGTTTGGGAGGCCGAGCCGTGCAGATCCCTTGAGGTCGGGAGTTTGAGACTGGCCTGGACAACAAGGTAAAAAACCCTGTATCTACAAAAAAATACAAACCTTAGCCGGGCATGGTGGTACACACCTGTAGTCCCAGATACTCAGGAGACTGAGGTGGGAGGATCACTTGAACCCAGGAGGTTGAGGCTGCAGCGAGCTGTGATTGTGCCACTGCATTCCAGCCTGAGCAACAGGGTGAGACCCCTTCTCAAAAAGAAAAAAAAGTACATGGCATGGATGAAGCATGAACAGTACTTATGTAACAGTGAGAAACAGACGTTATGTTCTTACCATTGGGGAAAAAACCAATGGCTGCCTCGTATTCTATCCTCCTTTTTCCTTTTTTTAATTTCCCGATGCTAAAAGGAACAGGAAAAATTTCTTGTAGATGGTCTGAGCTTTTGAATGATTTTTAGATGAGATGTACACCTATTTTTTTTTTTTTTGAGACAAGGCCTCGCTCTGTCAACAGGGTGGAGTGCAGCCTCGACCTCGTGGGCCCAAGTGATCCTCCCACCTCAGCCTCTTGAGTAGCTGGGGCTACAGGTGTGCGCCACCACGCTTGGCTAATTTTTTTTTTTTTTTTTTTTTTTTGAGACAGAGTCTTGTTCTGTCACCCAGGCTGGAGTGCTGTGGCACGATATTGGCTCACCGCAGCCTCTGCCTCCTGCGTTCAAGTGATTCTCCCTCCTGCCTCAGCCTCTCGAGTAGCTGGGATTACAGGTGCCTGCCACTACGCCTGGCTAATTTTTGTATTTTTAATAGACATGAGGTTTCACCATGTTGGCCAGGCTGGTCTCGAAGTCCCAACCTCAGGTGATCCACCCACCTCAGCCTCCCAAAGTGTTGGGATTACAGGCGTGAGCCACTGCGCCTGGCCAGTTTTTGTATTTTTTTGTAAAGATGGGATTTTACTATGTTGCCCAGGCTGATCTCAAACTCCTGGGCTCAAGTGATCTACCCACTTTGGCCTTCCAAAATGCTGGGATTACAGGTGTGAGCTACCACACCTGGCCTAGACCTAAATCTTAAAAGCACTGAAGTGTGTTTTAGCGATGCTTTATCTGTTTGACTTGAGCATAGGGTTCATGGGAAGAGCCTTTGGGTAGGGACCAAGCTAGGACTCTCACAGTGGCTCAAACCTTTTACTTAGGAGCATCAGAACTCATTTCATGACCTGATTTTCCAACTTATTTCTTAGTTGGAACCACATAAAGTACCTCAGTGGTCACCCGATGCCCTTAATATATTAGAGTTACATTAGTATTTTGCTTGACCTGTAATCTGTGTGAAAACATAGTTCATTCAGTCAGCAACACTTGTTGTGTATCTAATGTGTTGGGCCCTCCACTAGATCTCCTTTGGGTGCCAAAGGAGAAGATTTATTTGACCCCTTTCACAAGGAGTGGAACCTGTCCCCGTGGAGTGATTGTCTAGCTGGTATTTAAATACCTCTGGTGATGGCTGACTTGCTCCCTACCCCCAGGCAGTCCTTTGGTTTCTACTACGTTAATTAACTTTTTTTTTTTAATGGCAAACAAAATCTTTTTGGAACAAAACCGACAGTGACGTGTTTTCCACTGAGTTGGTACACACTAGAAGCTGGAGTGCAGGTGTGCTGCCCTGCTTGATGCAATGCAGGGAGGCAGGGTGCAATCTGACCCTGAGACTTCCATCAGGGTGTGCTCCGGCCACTCAGCAAGTGGTTGTCACCTACTTAGGATTTCTGCTTCCCGAGGGAAGGTGCATGCCTCACTTGGATGCATGGCCCATCCCCTTCTGTGTGAGTTGGGTCACCAGCCTTTAAGATGGTCTCACATGAAAGTCTTATTGGGCTCCCATTTTGGATAATGCTTTTCTCTAATATCATCCGAATAACTCATCAAAACCTCAGGTGAGCATGCTCCAAAGAAGCTTCTCTTTTATAAGGTATCAACCCTGATGGATATAACCTGAACATTCCTTTGGGCCCCAGGTAGTATACTGAGGAGAACGTGAATTTCCATCTCTCTCTCATTTTTTTTCTTTTTTCTTTTTTAAGGGATGGAGTTTTGTTGTGTCACCCATACTGGAGTCCAGTGTTGTGATCACGGCTCACTGCAGTCTCGACCTCCCAGGTTCCAGTGATCTTCCTACCTCAGCCTCCTGAGTAGCTGGGACTACAGGCGGGCACCGCCATGCCTGGCTAATTTTTAAAATTTTTGTAGAGGTGGGGTTTTACTATGTTGCCCAGGCTGGTCTTGAACTCTTGGATTCAAGTGATCCTCCTGCTTTGGCCTCCCAAAGTGCTGGGATTACAGGCATGAGCCACCGCGCCTGGCCCAGCCCTGTATTTGGCCAGATGAATTGAATAGATGGGAACAAAACTCAACAAAGACCTTCTACTCCTCACTTTTTCTGATTGGAATAGCTTGGTGAAGAGATGGCTGGGAAGAAATCTTTGAAAACTGGACTTAAGCGTATTTTTGAAAATTTAAATTTTAAAGTACTCTACAAACAACTTGGAGTCTTTCACTTCAGTGTGACCTAAGCAGATGTGTAGATTTAGAGGTCAAATGAGAAGTGTGTTATAAATACAGCATGCTAGATAATTGCCTTGTCATGAATATCCAAAATTGGGGGTGATAATACATTTAGAAACCAGTTTCTGCTGACAAGCATGTATCAGCTCACTTTTGGATAACCCATCCACAGCTACTTATTTTGAAGAGTGCTGGATAGTGGTGACCACACATACTCTCTGTTGGGTAATGTGTTTTACCTTAAACATTTGTGTTTTTGCCTCACCGTGGTGTTGCCCCTCGGGTCCCTGGTTTGTTGGTTTCTCTAGGCTGTGGGGTATTGGCATGTCTTACATACGGCTGTTTTCTGGATATGTTAGACCATCTGATGCATCATCTGTGAATGAAGTTGAATGTGTTTTTTTTTTTTGGAGACAGAGTCTCACTCTGTTGCCCAGGCTGGAGTACAATGGTGCAATCTCGTCTCACTGCAACTTCCACCTCCCGGGTTCAAGCGATTCTCCTGTCTCAGCCTCCTGAGGAGCTGGGACTCTGTACAGGCGCGTGCCGCCACGCCCAGCTAATTTTTTGTATTTTAATGGAGACAGGGTTTCACTGTGTTGCCCAGGCTGGTCTCGAACTCCTGAGTTCAGGCAGTCCGCCCGTCTCAGCCTCCCGAAGTGCTAGGATTACAGGCGTGAGCCACCACGCCTGGCCGAAAGTTGAACGTATTTTACATAAAGCTCCTGAGGACCTGAGGAGATTACTGAATAAGTTAATAAATAAATACATGTTTTGGAATTTTAGTGAGGTTTTCTCAGAGAAGTTCAGAGTGGCATCAGTTAGGCCAGGCCATGTGATGTGTCTTTTTTTTTTTTTTTTTTGAGATGGAGTCTTGCTCTGTCGCCCAGGCTGGGGTGCAGTGGCGTGACCTCAGCTCACTGCAAGCTCCGCCTCCTGGGTTCACACCATTCTCCTGCCTCAGCCTCCCGAGTAGCTGGGACTACAGGCGCCCGCCACCACGCCTGGCTAATTTTTTTGTATTTTTAATAGCGATGGGGTTTCACTGTGTTAGCCAGGATGGTCTCAATCTCCTGACCTCGTGATCCACCTGCCTCGGCCTCCCAAAGTACTGGGATTACAGGTGTGAGCCACCGCGCCCGGCCTCATGTGATGTGTCTTAAGGGTATCTGTGATATGTCCCTTCTTCGTGTACCCAAAGGCCTGTCATCTTGCTAAGAATGCGGCATTGGGATACATGGTATAAAAATTACTTTTTCCTTAGGAAAGTGGACACTCTGCTTTAGAAAGAGAGTGTATGCATGTTTGGTCCTGTTGCGGTAGTAAGCTCTGGGACCGGGGTGGTCACCCGTCTGAGAGTTTTGTCGTTGATTTTATTTTTTGTTTAAGCAGTTCTTGATATAGATGTGGCAAACACGGTGGCCTGTGTGTTCTGAGGCTTGCTTTGTGCCTTTGTCCTTCCATTCTGCCCTGGAGAGTAGATGCTGTGTGGTCATGTGTTCCTTTTGTGGTGTGCTCAAGAAAAGGGGGGGAGTATATGTGTATTGGGGAGGCGGTGTGGTTAGCATTGGCCAAATTATTATATTTAGAGATCATGATTTATGTCATTGTTATCTTTGCAGGAAGTGGAATTTTGGAAGGGCTCATTTGGCCAGCTTGTCTCATGGTAGCTACCAGAAGTCTCATGGTAGCTAGCATTGCCTCTTGTGTCTCTTCAGGAAACTGAGTACACAGAAATCCAGTCCTAAACACCAGAAACTGCAAGTGGTTATATTACAAATTAATCTGTCTAGAGTACTTTTAAATAAGTTCAACTCCCAGCATTCAAGTAACTCCATGGGACTCCATTGTTATAATTTAGTTTTCACCCTTTGTTGGTTGTTAGGCTTTTCATGTAGAAATACTCCCAGCATGGTGGCAGTAGAAGCAGCAGTCATAAGATCTAACATTTATTGAGCCTGTACTAGTTACCAGCCGCCTAAATTCCTTTCATGCATCATCTCATTCATTCATCACAACAATTCTCTGACCCCATGATGTAGATGCAGTTGTTATCCCCATGATTCAGATGAGGAAATTGAGACCCAGAGAAGCAGCTAGCTAGTAGGGCTCAAACTGTGAAGTGTGACTCTGAGCTGTGCTTCTGACCTCTGGCAGACTACCTGTCATAGAGACATGATCCATTCACCAAACAAGAACTCACTGAAAACCTGCTGTGTGCAGATCCTTCCTTGTGAGGCACATCGAGGGGAAAACTGTTCTGGCTTGTGGAAACAGCAGATTACAGCTTACCAGTGGAACAGCTTATTCTAGCTGGTATTTGACAACATAAGCTAGATCTTCACTTCTGTGATGGTCAGAAGGGAGATTCAGTGTTTTGTGGAAGTGAGGGGTTTGCAAAAGTGGTGTTAGTACACAAACCAGGTGACTGGAATTTGGGAGCCCTTATAGAAGGGAGGTCAACAAGACACTAAAGCATAAGACTGTCAGGGAAAGACCTGGTGGAGAGGTAGGGTGAAACACTGGACAAATTCTGCCAAGTATGGAATTGTCACCCTGTTCCCCTTGGAAAGGTTAGAGTGTAGAACAGAGATGATCTTTTGCGTGGTGGGAAATGTCCCAGAAGTGGAAGAGTGGGGCCTTGGACTCCAGGCTTCTGCTAGTCCTCCATGTGGTTAATGGGGGGGCCTCTCCTGTCTCTTGAAACCTTTCATGTGGGCACCACTTTTAACCTCCCTGAAAGTACTCAGCCCTGTTTCAGACTCACAGGTTGCCTACTTTTGAAGAGACTCTAAGCTCTATAAGCATTTGGGAATTTAGTTTTGCATTGGGTAGGGCCAGTGCCTTGAGAACAGGTCCATTGTTGTTTTATAATAGTTTATTATTTTACATAATATGGAAACTCAAGGTTTTGCCTCAGAACTGGTATTGGGGTGATTGTAAGAGGCCCAGTGACATGTGGCAGTGCTCAAGTGTGATAGCCTCTGGGAGGTGTTGTTTCTTTGTTGTTTTACTTTTCAAGCAGGAAGAGCCGTGTGGACTGGAGGGCAATGAGAGGAGGCTGTCCTGTCTCTTAGAGTGTGTTTGGGATGGGGGTTCCCAGTGTGCCTTGCTCCTTTGTGAGGGCATCGGAGCAAGTTATGGAACTGGCAGATACTGAATTACGGTAAGTACTTCAAGGTCTGTTTCCTGCTTCTTCCTGTCTGCGGAGAAGGACTGTTTTTTGTTTGTTTGTTTGTTTGTTTGTTTGTTTTGAGACGGAGTCTTGCTCTGTCGCCCAAGCTGGAGTGCAGTGGCACGATCTCGGCTCACTGCAACCTCCGCCTCCCGGGTTCAAGTGATTCTCCTGCCTCAGCCTCCTGAGTAGCTGGGATTACAGGTGCGCACCACCACACCCAGCTAATTTTTGTATTTTTAGTAGAGGCTGGGTTTCACTATGTTGGTCAGGCTGGCCTTGAACTGCTGACCTCGTGATCCGCCCGCCTTGGCCTCCCAAAGTGCTGGGATTACAGGCGTGAGCCACTGCGCCCGGCCTCGATTCCCCCCCGACCCATTCTTGTTGCCCAGGCTGGAGTGCACTACAACCTCCGCCTCCCAGGTTCAAGCGATTCTCCTGTCTTAGCCTCCCTAGTAGCTGTGATTACAGGCACACGCCACCACATCTAGCTGATTTTTTTATTTTTAGTAGAGATGGGGTTTCATCGTATTGGTCAGGCTGGTCTTAAACTCCTGACCTCGGGTGATCTGCCTGCCTCCGCCTCCCAAAGTGCTGGGATTACAGGCATGAGCCACTGTGCTGGCAGGACTGTTTTGAAACTAGTAACAGAGAATTACGTCTTGTGTGCTACCAGCTCAGTTATAACTGACCTATCTTCTCTATTTGCTACTGTTATTATCATTGTTATTTTGCTCACAGCAGCTGGGTAGTTTCAGCAAAATAATACTGAGAAGCAATCTGGATTAGGAGGCCAGCATTCTGGGCTCCTTTTTTCCCATCTGTGGAATACCACCATCAGCAAGCCTGCATCAAGAACCGTTTCTTGACACTTGCCCTGGGTACCAGCCTCTGGAAATGCAAGGATGGGTAAAACATGGTCCCTGCCCTAAAACTCGTCAGTGCCTCATAACCAGCAAGGACAAGTGGAGGGGCCTGCAAGTGGGAAGTGGTTGGGAAAAGAAGAGGAAGTGATGCTCTCAAATGTGCAGGGCTTGTCATGTGGAGGAGGATGATGTGGGGAAGGAAAACGTCCTTCTAGGCAAAAAGCAGTTTAAGTACAGGCCCTGGAGTATGAAAATATGAGGCTTAGTTGAGGACAGGGTAGGGCAAAAAGTGGAATGTGACTAGAGGATAGGGCTTAGGCGTGTTGTATTGAGTTGGAATGATGAGAAGTGTTGGCCCTGGAAAAATGGACGGGGGCTCGGTGGTGGAGTCTGTTGTGAGCCATCAAATGCTTTGGAGCAGGACTGTGATGTGAGCAGCTCTGTGGTTCAGAGAACTGCTAACCCTTTAGAAAATTTAAGTCGGAGAGAAGACAAGGTGTTTAGCAAACTGCAGTGTGAACTTGGAATTTGGTATTCTCTTTAACAGAATAACTTCTTCCCTTTTTTTTTACAAGAGATTTTTCAACCCAGGATATGTGGGCTGCCTTCTGAAGCCTTGTTAAATGATAGGGGAAAGGTGGGAACATTTATTTTCAGCAAATATAATTCAACAATGTTTAGACTTCCCTAATTGTGTTGTACTAGTTGGTACTTACTTAAGGTCATTAGAGATTGGAATTCTTTAGAGGAGAGGGACTCATTTCTCAAAAATATTGAGGATGGACACTGGGAGCTGAACTGGGACAATGTATTCCTCGTAACCACGAGTTTGGTGTGTCAGTTGGGAGTGACTGCAGGGTGGGATAGGTGTGAGCAGAGGGCCAGCTAATTTGCTGTCTTGATGACTCTGTGGGTGATGGCTTTAGGGGCTGGCAGCGTCTGGTGGAAATAGAATCTGTTCAAAAGGTGGAGCTGCCTTACAGCAATTGCCAGCTCGCTGCTCACCTGCAGAGCATGTGCCCTCATCTGGGTCACGACTCTGCCCCTCAGATGTTCCTGGTCCTCTGCTTGGATCCACCCCCTTCACTGCAGCTGAAACAGCCAACAAAGGAGCATCATGTGCCCGAGGCCTGAAAAGTTAGAGTGGATGTGAAGGAAGTCAGACTGCAGGCCCCAAAGACAATTAATGGTGTAGTAATTATTGTAGAGGCACAACATTGCCTTGTACTCTCAGGTTTTCAGAGTCCTCTGGGGAAGAAATACGAATTTTTTATAGCCTGACTTTATACATTTCAAAGCTTGTACTCATGGACTAAGGGACTTGGATGGGAGGGTTGTGCAAAATGGGGGTAGGCCTCCTGTAAACTTGGTGGGTTGGACAGAACACATACCTCAATCATTTCCATCACTGAAAACAGATTGTTTCATTTTATGATTTTCCGAATTGTTGGCGAACATTTTTTGTTTAGTTTTGTTTTTTCATGTGTTCTCGCATTTGAGATTGTGCAGGAGGAAGTAGGATTCTGGTAAGCTGAAGTGGAGCTTTTGGGGGACCTGGAGGGGAGCTGGGTTGGAGGCAGTGTCTGAAAGTGCTGCTTTTAGTGGGTTCGACCAGGGCACACTACTTAGGGGAAGCAGAGCACCATGTATGTCTCTGTGTGTAATCATCTCAACAACTTCATGAGGTGTAGCTGTTATTTTCTCCTTTTTAAAGACAGGAAACTGAGGCTTAGAGATGCTCCTGTTTCTGAGATCATGCAGCCAGTGACACATGACCAGGAAGCTTTATGGCAGGCTTTAAGAGTTGTTCTTTTAGATAATCTCAATATACGGTGATACCTGGAGAGTTTCTACCACTTGACTCAATTTGTTTGTCTTGGGGCCGGGCGTGGTGGCTCACACCTGTAATCCCAGCACTTTAGGAGGCCAAGGCGGGCAGATCACCTGAGTTCAGGAGTTCGAGACCAGCCTGGCCAATATGGTGAAACCCCATCTCTATTAAAAATAGAAAAATTAGCCAGGTGTGGTGGTGGGCACCTGTAATTCCAGCAACTCGGGAAGCTGAGACAGGAGAATTGCGTGAATCCGGGAGGCGGAGGTTGCACTAAGCTGAGATTGGGCCACTGCACTCCAGCTTGGGCAACAGAGTGAGACTCCGTCTCAAAAAAAAAGTTATGCTTTTGAGCTTAACACATTATTTGAATACCTCCAGCTTCATCTGAAATATCCTTAATTGAGCAATTGCTATGCTAGGTTTAGGCATGGTGGAGTTTGGTGTTTCTTGCCTTTGGGGAGTTGACATTATGAAAGGAATTCTTATGCCATGTGGACCCTGAGCCAAGTTCCCATGGGAAGGCCAAGGCTCACAGAAGCTCGCAGGAGTGGGTCTGCACTTCTAGGAAAAGCACAAGTAGGGGCTGAGAGCCCAGCAGGAAAGCAGGTTGGTTTTGAGTTTACAGTGTAATTTGGTGTTGAGGAAGGTGTCTGAGAAGATGGGTTGGAGGGATAGTGGGGCAAGGTGGAAGGTGGGGCAGGATTTGACCTTTTCTTCTTAATTTAAGTGGTAGGGAGTCCAAAGTTTTTGAGTAGAGAAGTCACAGTTGGCCTGCTTAGGCCTTGGAGACACCCTCAACAGTGGGCATGTGGTTTGTGTGTCTGTGCTTTGGGTGACTGCCGTGGCTCACTTCACTGTTTGCTTTTTGGCCTGAGGCAGAGAGTGCCTCCCATGGCAGCTCGTACAGGATGAACCAAGAGGCAGCACCCAGGATATCTGAATTGCCTAAAGCCACTGCAGTGATGTACACACATAGCGAAGCTTTATTTCTTTACAGCCATAGACTTGTTGAAAAGCTGAATCACATACTTTGCTTGATATTTGACTTTGTGGTTACCAATTCCAGGTGAGCCACCTTCGAGAGGGGTAACATCCTGTTGTCGGAAAGGTGCAGCCGGGCAGCAGGGAACCTGGGTTCCACTTTAGCCCTGACATAGAAGGTTTTGGTTCATGTCCCTTTGGTCTGGTAGGCCCCTTTTTGGTGCTTGTTTACGGAACTGATTTATCTTGTTTATAATGTTGGTAGACGGGTGTATATACCAAGACCTCTGGTTTACTGAAGGTAGGGCCAAGAGCTTTCCAGCAGTCTGTTGAGTGGAGCTACGGGTCAGTCAGCACACCTGGCCCAGAGCACCGTGAGCTGGTGAACCTACTTGTCCCAGGTGTTGTAGTGTGGCACTTGAGCCCACTCTACTGACTCTCCCCTCCCTCACTCAATTTTGGAGTCTTGCTGTCTTTGCCTGTTGCTGTTCTCTGCCTCAGCCCAAAAGGAGACAAGGAGTGCCTTCACCTGCCCTCACTGGGGGCAAGAGCAAGTCTGGATAAATGACTTTTACTGATAATTCCTCCAAATCATTTTTATCCTCCATAGCCAACACTCCTTCCTCTAAAAACCTGCAAAGTAGTAGTAGTAAATCCCTTTCCATTCCTCTCCTTTGCTCTTTCAGGCCTCTGGTAAAGCTGGAAGCGCCTGAAAGAGAGGCAACCGAAGCCAAGGCTGCCATAATCCACGCGCTCTGGACGTCACCCTGGGTGACTCAGATTTGGTTGCATTTGTCATTTCACAACCACCTGCATCTGATCCCACTGTGTGGGCAAACTGTCTGCTGGGAGTCTCTGCCTGGTGCCTGGTCTTGGGGGCATAGTGTTCTTCCCCAGAATTGCTTTTCCCAGCTGTTTCTCTATAGCTTTAGTCATGGGGTTCACTAGTGAAAGCTGCCATGCCTACCCTCCCCATTTACTTTTGTTAGTAGTCATTTCTTTTTTTTTTTTTCGAGATGGAGTCTTGCTCTGTCACCCAGGCTGGAGTGCCATGGCGTGATCTTGGCTCACTGCAACCTCTGCCTCCTGGGTTCAAGCAATTCTTCTGCCTTAGTCTCCCGAGTAGCTGGGCTTATAAGCACCTGCCACCACACCCAGCTAACTTTTGTATGTTTAGTAGAGATGGGGTTTTACCATGTCGGCCAGGCTGGTCTCAAACTTCTGACCTCATGATCCATCCACCTTGGCCTCCCAAAGTGTTGGGATTACAGGCGTGAGCCACTGCTCCTGACTGTTAATAGTCATGTCTTTTTTTTTTTTTTTTTTTTTTTTTTTGAGACGGAGTCTTGCTCTGTCGCCCAGGCTGGAGGTCAGTGGCGCGATCTCGGCTCACTGCAAGCTCCGCCTCTCGGGTTCACACCATTCTCCTGCCTCAGCCTCCGGAGTAGGTGGGACTACAGGCGCCCGCCACTGCGCCCGGCTAATTTTTTGTATTTTTAGTAGAGACGGGGTTTCACTGTGGTCTCGATCTCCTGACCTTGCGATCCATCCACGTCGGCCTCCCAAAGTGCTGGGATTACAGGCGTGAGCCACCGCGCCCGGCCAATACTCATTTCTAAGAAGCAAATATGTACCATCGTATGCCAGTCATGGTAAATGCTTTCTGTGCATTATCTTCATAGTCCTCACAACAGTCCTATTAAATTGGTATAATTATCCTCATTTTGCAGATTTGGAAGGTGGCATTTGGGGAGGTTACCCTAATCTTTTCAGTTACCTAACTTAATGTACAGGAGGCATTATACCTCTTGCAGTCTGTATTTCATCTGATTTAATCTTTGCATCAACTTAAAAGTTCACTGTTATTTCTGTTTACAGATGAGGAAGCTGGGGCTTAGTTTAAATAACTTGCCCAAGGTTACTCTAGCTAGTTAGTGAGGGAGTCTGAATTCAAACCCAGGCCAGTGTACTCCAATACAAGTGCTCTTCATCTTTTCACTTCTGCATTTGTTTTTTAAGTAAAAATATCCACTTTTGGGCTGACAAAGCTGATAGCTTCTCGAACTCCTGGCCTCAAGGGATCCTCCCATCTCTGCCTCCCAAAGTGGTAGGATTACAAGTGTAAGCCACACGCCCGGCCAAAGCTGATGGCTTCTATTGGATTTGTTTTCTAATGCTTTGTCCATTTTTAAATGGGGGAAGAAAGGGAGATAATGTACTATAGGTTAAGCTCCTTGAGGACTTTTTTTTTTTTTGGAGACAGAGTCTCCTCTGTCATCCAGGCTGGAGTGCAGTGGTGTGATCTTGGCTCACTGCGACCTTCACCTCCTGGGTTCCTGTGATTGTCGTGCCTCAGCCTCCCAAGTAGCTGGGACTACAGGCACATGCCACTACTCCCAGCTAGTTTTTGTATTTTTAGTAAAGATCGGGTTTTTTTGGTTTGTTTGTTTGAGACAGAGTTTTGCTCTTGTTGCCCAGGCTGGAGTACAATGGTGCAATCTCGGCTCACTGCAGCCTCTGCCTCCCGGGTTCAAGCGATTCTCCTGCCTTAGCCTCCGAAGTAGCTGGGATTACAGGCATGCGCCACCATGCCTGGCCAATTTTTGTATTTTTAGTAGAGACAGGGTTTCATCATGTTGGTCAGGCTGGACTCGAACTCCTGACCTCAGGTGATCTACCTGCCTCGGCCTTCCAAAGTGCTGGGATTGCAGATGTGAGCCACCGTGCCCAGCCGAGATTGGGTTTTACTGTGTTGCCCAGTCTGGTCTCCTGGGCCTCAAGCGATCCATCTACGTTGGCCTTCTAAAGTGGTGGGATTAGAGACGTGAGCCACCACGCCCAGCCACTTTTTGTTCTTTTTAAGCATTTTATTCACTGATGCCTCCCAAGCGCTTGCCATAGTGCCTGGCACATACTAGGTGCTCAGTCAGTATTTGTTGAAGGAATGAATGCGGTAGGGGTTATTTGACCTGTTTCACAGGTGGCGATATTGACACAGAGCAGTTGGGTGTCTTGCCCATAGGCATGCACCATTGTTGAAAACAGCTTTTGCTCTTCACACACAGATCTTTTTTTTCTTTTAACAGATTTTTTTTTTACAGGTATAAAATGGAAGTCATTAGACCTAAGTGATGGGATTGTAGAGTGTAATATAACACACTATAAATACCCCGTGTCTGGTATACAATGTCAACATTCAGTAAGTGACTGTGTTTGTTGTGGTTGGAGCTTCTTTTCTGCATGTGCCCTCATTTTGGGTAGGGTTGCCACACAGATAAGGAAACTTGAAAATTTGTGAGCCATGGAAACCTTTTAAAAACATGTTTAATTAATGCAGTGTTTCTATCTTTGCTATACTATCCATCAAGCAATACAAGTAGTCAAATTGGTGATAGGAGTTCACATCTATCCTGAGCAAGTCGACAAGTGGGTTATGACTGGCAAGATTTGATTAAATGATATTTGCATTTTCCCTGTTTACAATCGTAGAGCATTGCACTGGAAGGGGCCTCAGGGAAGCATGGTTCGTTTCTTTTCCTTATACCTCCTTAGCTTACAGGTGAGGAAAGTGAGGCCTGGAGAGATGCAGGGGGCAGGCTTGATGTGGAACTCTGGACTTGCATGTCACATTCTCTTAGACATCAGCTCACCCTGCCAAATCCAGGTGCCTGGACGGGCTTGTATGAACTTTTGTGGTGGAGCCACAATTATTCCTACTATGATGTTAGTAGCAGATTGTATCAATAATCCACCAAGAGCCAATACATCAAAATCAGGACTGTTTAAACATTGTTTTTTACCCATCATAAAATGTTCTTAGCCAGGCACCATGGCACACCCGGGAAGTCCCAGCCACTTGGGAGGCTGAGGCAGGAGGATCGCTTGAACCTGGGAGTTTGAAATCAGCCTGGGCAACATTGTGAGACTCCATCTCTAAATAAGTAAATGAATGAATGAATGAATGTTCTTATTCATTGTACATAATAAGAAGGAATATGAAGAAAAAACAAGTTATCCTAAATTAAGATTATAAATAGTCCTAAGGATTAAAAATTATTTTTTCATCAGAATTTTAATTATTTCACTGCACCTATGCCCATAATAGAAGAATTATAAATGAACCCAAAGGAAAAAACATCTAATGATGCAAAAAGGAAAAAGGAAAGTAAAATTGTTTATGCCCACAAGTCAGAGATAAATCATTGTTGATACTTTACTATTTCCTTTTAGGTGGTTTTCTATGGATATATACACATATTACAAAAATGGGATTTATTGTGGACAATAAAACCCATTTTTGTACATGTCTTTATACCATATGTTTTACAATTTTAATATGATATGACAAGTCTTTTTTGGTGTATTCAAATATTCTTGAACATGAAAATCACATTTTGATGTGGCATAATTTTGGGGGGCAGGGTCATAGGCTAATGTTATAATTATTTTGCATTCCCTGGGCACTCATTGTGTGAGTGAAGGAACCTATCTTCTAGGTTACATGAAACCAACATAGTATTAAACTTTTTATGGTAAATTGTGAATATGTAGTTCATCAGAAATTTATTTTAAAGAGAAAAATACTGAACTGACAAAATGTGTGTGTTTATTTTTGGATAGCATGTGATCTGTCTTATTACCCCAAACCCGTGAGGGTTACTGATGAAAAACAAATTGAGCAGTTCAAAAAGTCCTTTCGCTAGAGGGTTGGCCTCTCTTGAGAGGAAGGTGTTTGTTCTCTTACATAGGGCACTGTGTTGTGAATGTTAGGAATGATGTGATGTGTCCTTTATCTGTGGTTGTATTTTTACTGGATGTTTTTCTTTAATCAATGTCATGTTATTTGGACATTCTAGAGCAATTATTCCCCATCTTTTTAAATGTAAGATACTCTTTTAATGTAAAAAATTTCCAGACCAAGTGTGATTTTAATTATTTTTTTAGATTCTGTTGAGAAGCTCTAATGACAGAAAAACTCTATCGACATTTTAGTGGCACTTATCTTTATTAAATACAGCAGCATTTTCATATACTTGCAAAATAATTGTACATATATGTGTAAATTTAATTGATTTCTAGATGCTTGATGAGCAAATGAATAAGTGGATCCCTTGAAATAGCTCCCTGGAGGGCCCCTGCCCTAGAGGAAGACAGATCCTGCATATGTAACCCTAAAGTCTAATGTCAGGAAAATAACGATTAGACTAGTTCTGAACCGCAAGTGGAGTTCTGTAACTAGAGCTAAACGCCACTGTATGACAAGTTAGGAAGATATATTTTCTTCCACCTGTTCATACACTGAACGGTTTCCAGAGCAGCCCTTGATATCACCTCATTTTCCTCATCATTTCAAAGAATTCTATTGGGAAAGAGAATGCAATCAGCCAGATTGTAAGAAACATTTGGACATACTTAATGACTCTCCCTTGGCCCTTTTAATTAATCTACTGTGATCTATTAGAGAGAGGACTGGGTTTGTTAGCTAGGAGACTAACGTAAGGTCCTGAATGCAAGCCCAACCTTGATTATGATTAAAACAGAAAAAGATATACTTCACACCTTGGTTTTTCCATCTCTAAAATGGGTAGAATTATCTTCCTTGTGCCTTCTTAGGAGGTGACACAATGATACCCATGGGCAGCATTTTCTTTCTTTTTAATCAGTAAACGTAAACAAAAACCTTTGTAAGGATGGAAGCTATTGGAAAGTACCATATAAAGGATTAGGACCGTAAATCCAGGGAAATTCTAAGCATTCTGAAAGCTGCTTTTAGGCAGGGCAGCAGCCAAAAGACCAGCTGGTAGATTGAGACCTTTCTGAAAAACCTGACTTCATTCTCTTGTGGTTCCATTTTCCTTTTTTTCAAATGGGGTCTAGTGGCTTAGCTGTGGTTATTCCACAGCTGATGCCTCTTTCATTGCTGTTCTTCTGGTTCTGACAACAACAGCATTCTTGCACCACTTAACTCTCCAAGATGCAGGCAGGGGAGGTGACTGCCTCATTTCTGATGTGCTTGTTAGCTACAGGAAAAGCATCTTAGTATTCTACCTTTGTCTAGGACTTGGGACTGGGAGCAGGTATTCCGTTTAAGTTTTATGTGCCATCTGTATATTTTCAAAAACATTTAACATGATCTTTATTTCAAGCTTTTATAGCCCTTTCAAGTTGCTCTAGGGGACTTAGCAAAACAGGTAGACAGTAAGTATGGATCAACTGAGCACAGGAAAGAATGGGATTTGGGAAGATCACATTGTTTGGATTTTCTGCTGATACTAAAGCTGGATTTTTACTACACAGGCAGGGAGAAATTACTGTCCTGTGGTGGACCTGGTGAGAGAGGTGGCATATGACTAAGCAAGTCAGCTGACCTCAATTAAAGGGCTGTGACCATCTGTACAATGGGACCAGTACCTCCTCCAACTGTTGGTCTCAGCTGAGTGAGATTCCCATGTCTGAGGAGGTGATCAGGGGTGATGATGACTTTTGATGGAACTGACCTCACACAGGTTTCTGGGGGAAAAAACCCACCAAACTTTATTTTAAGAATTCTAAAACAATTTTACAATTCTGATTTGAGTAGAAGTTTGATTTGAAAAGGGACTTCATCTGCACCTTCTCTCTTGCCTTTGTTTATAGATGTCAGTAATGCCCGTATTTTAAAAAGTTGAAATGAGTTATAAATTATATCTTAAGGATTTTAGTTTGTTTTGAAGAATTGTTTAATTGGCTAGGATTTCTCCCCCCTTCAGTAGCTTCAGATCCCAATGGCTAGGCAATATGGAGATAATAGTAAACAGGATTTTGTAAGAGATGTTATTTATTTATTTATTTTTAAATAGAGATAAGGTCTTGCTATGTTGCCCAGGCCGGTCTCGAACTCCTGGGCTCCAGCAACCCGCTATCCTCAGCTTCCCAAAATGTTGGGATTACAGGCATGAGCCACTACCCTCAGCCTGAGACATTATTTGAGGAGGAGGTCATGAATATATAATTAACTTAGGAGTACAAATGAAAAGTTTTCTCTTGAACCTACCTTTTTGAACAGAAGAGGTGATTTTTAGGTATAATGGTGTGCAAAGTAACAAATAACAGCCTCTAAAGACATTTAAAACAATAAATAAAGCATAAATATCTTTATTCAGGATGAACTGAGTTCTGAAGCCTGATGTTTTCAAGAGTTCTTTATTATCAGGTGGCTTGTGAAAGCCCGTCGTTAACCAAACGTGTTGTGTTTGCCTCAGAATTTTATTAAAAAGGTATGCATAGGTTCATATCCCCCTTATGTGAGGTGGCAGTGAAACAGAAACTTGATAGAAATATTGAGGAGGGGAAAAGATGAAGCCACCGCGGCACCTGGCCTCCCTCTTTCACTTCCCTTTCCAACTCTGCTCCTTTGAGATGTTCTTCGAGAAGATGGAGGAAGCTTGCTGGGTTTAGGGTCATCACCCAGGATCTGGCGACGGGAGTGCCTCAACATGGGGAGTTCCCTCCCCAAAGCCCAGAGCTAATTCGTCACATCCAGCTGCTGTCAGGAGTTGAGCAGTCCTGTCCCCTGGCTTTCCTGGGAAGGCCTGGGTGGAGGCGGCAGGAGCAGGCAAGGGACCAAGAGAGTGCCTGCTAGACCTGATGCCTCTCCCTTCCCCCCTGAGCCCCCAGGGAAGGAGCTGCCTTATAGACTCGGGTACAGGGAGGCAGGGAATAGAGGGTTGGAATCCAGAAAAGAGGGTGGAGGGCATGACTGCAGTTACTGCCATTGTCTCAGGACAGACAGACCAAGCCCTGGTACAGAAATTGTTTGGCTGTTGGCCTTTTCTCTTCAGATGTTTACATGCAGGAAGTGCCTTTGATAAAGTATGGTTTGCTAACATGAGTATGATATGCATGCGCATTTTTGGATGCCAAACACATAGGCAGATGAAACTAAGAAGCCAGATGCTAAGATAGTTGTTGATGAATTGAAACTAGCCTAACTGGCTCCACTGTTGGAGTCATTTGCTCAAACTACTCCAAACTTTTGTTTGGTCTACTGAAAACATTAGTTGGAAAGGTACAGCGTTAATTTAAGGCAGGGAAGCCTCCAGCACGTGAGAGTCGTGTCTCTCTCGGTGATGCTGGGAGGGAAGGATGGGAGATGAGAGTCATTTCACGGCCGCCTAGCTCCTCCTCTTCCTCTCCCTGCCCTGGAGCTGCAGCCTCAGCTTTCAGAGTCTCTTGCCTGGTGGTAGGCCCGGCGAGCGGTTGGATTTTAAGTATCTCAGTTATTTTCAGTATCATCAGTCATCACTTTCAGAGTTCCTTTTCTTTTTCAAGGGTACCCAGTCTAACTGTTTAGCTCCTTTTCAATAGCCCTCCTCACTCACTTACGCCTAGTCAGGAAGATTAATAATGTTAACTGATTTACTATCACTGCAAAAAGCATTAGTTAATTAGACTTTTACACCTCAGTCAGATGGCATTAGACACCCTTTGTGCACTTTAACTCAAGGATGTTAAAGACCTAAATCTTTCAGAAAAAAAGAAAAGAAAGAAAAAGGACAGGCACTTTTCCAGTTTAAGCTGCATGTTGGTCCATGTTAATTAGGCATTTGTCCTTTAGTCTGGAGGTGATAGAAAATGCCAGTTACTGTGGTATTTAACTGACATCAAACTCCTGTCCAAATAATTCAGTTGGGCCCAGCCTTCTCTCTTAATTGGTGGGAAGGAAAACTTCGGCACACACCCAGAATAGGGAGGAAACTGTTACGTTGAACATTTTGAAGTTTCATTCTGAAGGATCTGAAAGACACTTGAATATTTTTTAAATTAACTATCCAGTTGAGCTTTTTAAAAACAGTAACAAAAGAATCTCCCCTCAAACTTGAGCTACCCCAAATGATTAGCTTTTGTAAGTCTTCAGAAAATGAAAGTTTAGTCATTGTAATCCAAGGTCAAAGTGGTGGTTGTTATCCAAAGCTCTTATAGATTTATGTATCTGTTTGGCCCTGTTTTAAACAGTGCTCTGAAAATTGACAGTTTTCTAGCTCACACTCGTATTTCTTTATTAATACCAGAAATTCACAAGTGGGTTAAGGCACCCACCAGTATACACATTTAAAAATCAATATATGCTAGCATATTGGGACAAAAGTGACATGAATATGATTGTTTCATGGGAGCAATTAGATGACACTTTTTTTGTTTTGTTTTTAAAAGTAACTTGTTCCTAGTTGCTGGAGAAGGTAATCCTCCGTAATAAGAGTATAGTTTACCTTATTCATGAGTTACGTAAAACAATTACAAAAATAATGAAAAGATTTTTTTTCTAACTTAGTAGGTAGCCTTATTTGACTCTAAACCTTACTCACTTTTGTGTATGGTTTCTAGCCAAAGGTTCACACATGTGAGAACATTTCACTTTTAGTACTGAACTACTTTTTCGTGCACTGAATGAATACAATATGTTAACACTCCTGTAAGGCCCAGAATTGCTTGGCTGCCCCTTGCCCTGCCTGCCTGGTACTGGCTGAAAAGGTACCATTGTTTGTTCTGCAAACACTGAGTGATGTTTGTTTCCAAGGTGACTGGTTCTATTGCTGCCCTTTAAGCAAAGGTGGGAGGGGGGATGGGGGAGAGAGAAAGTTGGCTTCAGACACCTGAGAGCATCCTGTTCTGGGTACAGTGTGTGTATGTATATGTTTGTAAGTTGAAATTTTATTTTAACTGAGGTAATTGGAGAAAAAGGGATAGTGTAGAAATGGGAGGAAAAGACAGTATCAGTAAGTTAAAAATATCAGTAGGTTCTGATGTTTAACTCAATATACTTTGAGTGAATGTAATGGTAAATGTTAAAATTAAAGATCTGGTTTGACTGAAGTTAACTTTACATTTGGAGTTAAGGGGAGAAAAATAGATAACTGTTGAAATGTTAAATTTATTTTTGCATAAAATAGTTCTGCTATAACCTATGTGTAGCTATTCAAACAAATAAATATTCGACAATATAACTGAATTGGTTATTGATCAGGTAGTTGGGCCTTCAAAAAAAAGTATGAGAATATGAAATATAAACAGATTTAAGTTCTGTAAAAACAAAATCTGTAAAATCATTCAGGTATATTTGTGTTCAAAATTTTCCAAAAAGATTAGATTAAAAGTATCTTTTAATTGGTGATATATATTGACTCCATTAGACTTTGGAAATTTATATTTTATCAGTCAGAACTTTTAGATTCAGACTAGAAAAAAAATTCCTTCTTGGTCCTTTCCCCCACCCACCCTTTTTATTGTACATAGATGCTGTTAACAGAACTTTGCCTTTTTCATTCCTATCAGGTTTAGTACAGTTCATGCGCAGGTTTCAGTAAACATTAACTACTTTTATCAGAGCTTGCAGTGTGCTGAATGGTTAGCAAAGAGAGTGTACTGCAAGAGACAGATGAAAATGAGAGAGTCCAAGGTCACATGGATTTTGAATTTTTTTTAATTATTGAGAATTTAGGGGAAAGACCATCAGGCTTCACACTTTAAATCTCTTTATGTGGGCCTGCCACACGGCGTCTTTGCCAGCTTTTGTATGTACTGAAGCTAAAACATTTGTTCAGATGCTGATTGGCAAGGCAAGTGACTTTAAAACATGGTTTTTTTTTCTTTCAATTAAAAAAAGTTTTATTCAGGGCTGCCTTCTAGGATGAAAGATTCTCAAGGCCCTATCAAAGACGTAATGCAACACTTATCGTGGTGATTCTTAAGACTCCTTTGAATTTTATAGGGATATCCTTTTTCTCAAAGATTTTTCAGGATTGCCTTCTGATAATCTATTTCGTTTCTGGAGTTAGCACAGTAACTCGTAAACCAAGTGCTAAAAGATGAAATCTGAAACACAGATATAGAATAAACGTGTTTTGGATATCATGTAATGTTCCCCAACTTTTGCCTATCATTTTCGAAAACAGGAATGTGATCTGTACTTATTTTTAGAGAAAAGGACACGAACATTTGAGAAATTACTGACAAAAATTATTCTCCTCCTGCCCCTCCGATCCAATAGGTTTGAAGCCGCTGGTCCTCGCCTTTTACTCCTTAGCTGGACAGCGGGTTCGGGATCTGCCCCATGACTAAGGCTGAAGTGGAAAGTTGCGAAGATAGAACAAGAGTTGTTCCTTAGGGTGGTGTCCCTAAACTTGAAAGTGGACTTGGTCCTGCTCGCAGGTGGGCTTGCACGCGCCAGGCTTCGTGTGGTGGCTCGCGCGCGCTGGCCCCCGAGCGCCAGCGTGGGTGACCCGTGCCCCGCCCCGGACGGCCTTTTCACCCTGTTCTGTTTCTGGGGAGGGGCGAGGGGAAAACTGCGGGTGCCTTCCCTCAGAGGCGGGCAGCCATTGTGCCTCGGGAACACGGTCTGAGTAGAGTTGTGTTCGCACAGCTGAAGGCGGCCGGCGGCCCTCCCAGGGCCTCGAGGGTCTGTCTGTGCCCTCCTCAGGCTGGGACCGGGCAGCCGACTGCCCGCGTCAGGGCTCCACGGCCGCAGGGGCCCCCTCGGGCCGCCCCCAGGGCTCCCGCGGTGGGTGTCCGGTGAGCGGGTAGCGAGGCCATCAGTCAGGGCGGCGGGCGCCGATTGGCTGGCGGGCTGGCGGGGGCCGGGCGGGGCGGGGCTCGGTGTTCGTTCGCGCTGGCGTTCCCCCGTGAGTAGAGCCGCGTCTTCCAGCGGATCTTGCCGCACTTTCCTCAGTTGCGAAGGGCACGGCCGCTGGGGACACAACCTAATGAACAACCGGAGCTCTTCAGAGATGCCTTTAGCAACTCAGCTCCTTAAAAATAATAAATTCCTCTTAGGGAAAGATTAGAAGATGAGTGTGCTTGGAGCGAACCCGTGCCCGCCCCCCCGCCTTTTTTGGCTAGAGGGCATTTAGCCTGTGACCACTTTTAAATTTTCACAAGATTTGCATAGACATGAGCATGCCCACTCGCATTATGTAATTATTTCCCCAAATAAGTCCCCATTGAAACATTTGGCTTCCCCGATGGCTATTTCAGAATAAAAACATGTAGCAGGGTATTTCATGATGGGTAGCTCCAAAAACTTTTGTTTAAAAGAAAAACCACGTATCTAGAAAATGCTCCTTTAAGCCTTTTTTGACGAGGAGGAGGGGTGCAGACACTTGCCTGCGGCAAAGTGAACCTGGAAGGAGCGGGGCGTGTGTAGGACAGAGCCCAGGAGAACGGGCAGCCGGGTGGCCGGGCCAGGAAGCAGGGCCTTTCTGGCCCTTTCCGCAGAGGGCTGGATAATTGCCTCTCCTTTCTAAAAGGAGCCGTTTTCTGGGCCGGGAGCGGTGGCCCTCGCCCATAGGCTCACGCTCGTAATTCCAGCAATTTGGGAGGCCCAGGCAGGCGGATCATCTGAGGTCAGGAGTTCGAGACCAGCCTGGCCAACATGGTGAAACCCCGTCTGTACTAAAAAAAATACAAAAATTAGCTGGGCGTGGTGGCGTGCGCCTGTGATCCCAGCTACTCAGGAGGTTGAGGCAGGAGAATCGCTTGAACTTGGGAGGTGGAGGTTGCAGTGAGCCGAGATCGCGCCACCGCACTCCAGCCTGGGCAACAAGAGTGAAACTCCGTCTTAATTTAAAAAAAAAAAAAAGGCTATTTTCTGAGAATGGAGGTGGAGGACCACACAAAACCCAGCCAGTTCTCGTGGCTTCCGCTTTTACACCCTCCTCCGAGAGCCGGCTCCCATGCCCTTCCCAGCTGCGCTGCCCTCGGCACCACCGGGTGCGTCCCCCCGCAAAGCTGGACGCCCTTGTGTCCTCCCGCCTGCCCTCGGTGTCAAGTCTCCCTCCAGGACGCAGTTTCTCGATGTTCTGTACTGGAAGTACATCACC
Source organism: Homo sapiens (assembly GCF_000001405.40). Taxonomy (NCBI): domain Eukaryota; kingdom Metazoa; phylum Chordata; class Mammalia; order Primates; family Hominidae; genus Homo; species Homo sapiens. The sequence continues at coordinate 7,142,476 of NC_000006.12, forward strand.
GGTGAGGGCAGCAGGTCACTGTTTGGTAACCATCAGGCTGTTCCGGTGGCTAAAGGTTGCCTGCTGCCAGGCGCCTTGCTGAGTGTGCCCTGCCTTAGTCTGAGACAGTTCGTGGGGTCAGGCTTGACCCCCAGCAGGCCCGCTTCATGAGCTGGCGCCTCTGCAGCCATGTGATGGGCGGAGCCACGTGGGGCTAGCTTACCAAGCCAGGGCACTGACTTCTGCCCCAAGGCCGGGCAGGGAGGACCCCAGCACCGGCCACTCTAGGACCCTAGAATGAGTTCAGTGACTTTACGTGGCACCCCCTCTTTCCACTTTGAGACTTACCTCACTTTTGCTGCACCACCTTTGGTGGTCGCTTTTCTCTTAATAGTGATTCTTCATTCTTCATGGGGGGATAACTTTTCTCTTCTACACATGCTGGGACCCCTCTCCAGGAGGTTCTGGTGGAGCATGAACCAGTGGCTGGGGCATTGGAAGCTTCCCAGGCGATGCAAATACAAAGCCCTAATAAAGCTTTCAAAACTGCGTTAGAAACAGGTCACTTTTACATTTGTGTTGGAAACTTGTCTTGAGACAAATGAATACATTTGAGCCACTGGGATTTTTGGGGAAAATACAGCTAAAAGGGTTAGGAAATGATACATAAGGAAATTCTCCCATCTGATGCTGGCTGGCTTGCTTGCTTGCTGCAAACCCGAGTGTTTTCTATTAAGTGAGGCATTGTGGTTCCTATGCTAGCCCTGATGGGCCTTCAGCACTGGCAGGTGTAAATGCGGCTCATTAATTTTTTAAGAAGTTGGAACTCTGACAGTTTTCAGGGATGCTGAGTAGCTGGTACCAGATGTTTCTTTTGTTAAGGGCATGGAGAGGCAGTGTCACAGGTAATCAGGCTATGGTCGTTCACTCCCTTGGTCTGAGACTATGCGTTTTGTGGTGCTGAATGTTTTCTTAAACCAAGAAGGGTGTGGGGAGGTGCATGTTCTGGTTTCTAGTTGGGCTTTCCCCCGACACTGGCTCTTGCAGTATTATCTTAGGTAGAGGTGTTGACTCAATTATCATTAGACCCAGCTCCTGTTGGAAGAGAGTAAATGGTGCTTGGGGCCTCTTTATCTAGACCGTTTTGCCACCGCTGAAGTGACAGCCTGTGCTTCTAACTGAATTCAGTCCTTTTTTTTCACTCCCTTTCTGTGGAACAACAGCAAAGTCGGCTGCTCATCATTCGGGTGCAGACTTTACAGCCTCTGAACAGCCTCTGCTTTTGCAGTTTATGAATGCACCATTTGTTGTTTTGAGCACAACTGTTAGATACAACTGGCCTCTGCAGCCCACTCTGCCGGCGACCAGTGTGCATCACTGCAGCCTTTTTTTCTTTCTTTTTTTTTTTTTTTTTTTGCATAGGCCAAATTTTTGCTTTAAATACCACCATTTTGTCCACACTAGAATTTCTTTGACCCAACTTACATTTTTTCAAATGTAAGTTTCAGAAATAAGGTTTTAATTTGCTCAAACTGTTGGTCTAGGGATCCTGAATAAGTGCAAGTATTTTACTTTATTAAAGGGGGAATTGTTTTTGTGGCTTGGTTTTGCACACTTTTTTTTTTATATTCTCAAACATGTGACTTCCAAATTTTCCTTTAAATTGGGTTGAAGTTAGAAAGTTTTATTATTTCCTAAGTCATTATATTTTTTCTTTTTGAGCTTTATGCACAAATAATGTTTTCAGTTTAGAACTTAAGATCTTAAATGTTCTCATAACAAAAAATAAATATATGAGGTTATAGATATGTTAGCTTGATTTAACCATTTCACAATGTATACATGTATCAAAACCTCACCTGTACACTGTACATATACAATTTTAATTTGTCAACTATATTATAATGTGAAACTTAATTTTTAAAACTGAATTTAAGGGAAACTGTCAAAACCAAACTTTACAATGTGGTATTGAAGAGTATTTATAAGTAACTGTTTAATTTCTCATTCTTCTGCTCTTGAAACATGGTCTTATCCAAAGGTGATAGCATTAATGTTAGGATTTTCACTTCTGTTTTGTTTTTCTCACATAGACATTCTTTGGCCCTGTGTAATTATATAGGTGCTGTGTTCTCTGGTTGTATACATTGACATTATTCCTTTTTTTTTTTTCACAAATTATTTCTATTTCTTTGTATTTTAGTTAATGAAGTATATTTTAATCTTTTTCTACTGTGCTTTACATATTCAACAACTGGTTCAAATTGTCAGTTCTAACTGCTTTTAGGCCTTGCTTCTCCCAAGGAGATACATTTCTGTTAAGGCAGCAGTAAACATCTTACAGCAACCAACTCTATGTGCCTTGGTATCCTGGAGCTTCCAAAAATGAAACAGTCACTTGTTGAAAATGAAGAAGCTTTCTGTAGTTGAATTTTGAAGTAGATATATTTATTTGTTGTCCTTCAGCGAGGTTATGAAGGCCCTGGGTTACATCTGCATTTTTTATAAAATTGCGACATACAAACATAGTTAAGGGGGGAAAGTGTAATCTTTTGTGAGAGTCATGCTTTCTTCTTCGTCTCACCGTGTAGAGGGGAAGATCTGTCTTTTTATGATTAAAAAAGACACCCATTCTTTCCACTACCTGAAGAATCTTGAAGGTCCATGTGAAGACAAAGCAGCCATAAACAACAAGTTAGAGGGAAAACGAGCTTGTGTGTTAGTGCTTCCAAGAGCAGTTTTCTCAGCTCTGATCTGTTGTAATTTTCAGAGCAGGTTTACATGTGTGGTCGCATGTTTTGGTGGTTGGTTTTGACCTGGACCTTTCAACTGAGCAAAGTCTCCTTGGACTTTTCTCCTTTTCCCATAGTTTCTTGCTGGCTTCTACCTGTGATTAGTATGTGTGTTGCTTAAAATGGCAACTGAAACATCACCAGGAATTTTCACCAGGTAGAAACTGCTTTTCCTGTATCAAAACAACCAGTACAGCTTAGCTGATGCTTCTGTTGCTAAGCAGGTAAATTTCTGGTCTTCAGGCTGCCCTTATTAACCCTGTAAATGCCTAATGTCAACCGAAGAAGAAGAAGAAAAGAACTTGATGCTTCCTTCTCACCTTAGTGCTTTGTTCAAGTGCGTGAAAACTGGACCTAGCTCAGCCTAATTTCCATGTATCTATTTTAGAGGACCTAACCTCGATTAACCTATTTTGCAGGGTCAGGAGGAGAATTGGGAGATGGAGAGGGCCTGTGAGGTTGGTAGTTTCCAGTGAAATGTCAGCCCCAGTAGCTGATAGTGGAAGTCTTATACTAGATGACCAAAATTATGGGTTTATTTCAGCCAGTAATGGGCCCCGTCTTTTTCTTTGGGACTTTTCTCTGCCTGTAGCTGCCCCTATGCCTGTGGGGAGAAGAAGAGGGAAGAAAGGGGTTGCTGTTTGCATCTATTTGCCAGAAAGGAGTTAACAGAACATACCGCAGAACAGGTTGGGCAAGACTGTTAAAGCCAGTGCCTTCCTCTCTCTTTCTCTCTCTCTCTTTCCCTACCCCCTACGCCACCTCTCCGTATCCCTCTCCTTCCTGCTCTGCGCACCGTCTCCCCACCGCCCCCCAGGACTTTAATACATCTTCAGACTATACTCCCCCCACCAACACACACACACAGATACACACACACACTTCAGTATCTGGCTTTCCTTCTAGGCAGAACATGGATGTGAATAAAACACTTTGTGGAGCCTGTTGTGTGAGAAGCAGGCAGCGGCTGTGGGCCTCAGCCTTGCCATCTGTTTCTAGAGCAGTCTGTGGCCCGCTTACCATGCCCTCTGTCATGTAACATAGGCCCCATTCAGCAGCAGCATTCTTGAATGTGCATTTATGTCTCTGTGGGACCGGGGGTAGATGGCCTGAGAGGGGGAAAGCAGGAGATGGGAGGGGAGGAGGCGAGGTGGGGACGGAGAAGGAAGTGTGTGCACACGCAGACAGCCTGGGAGGGCAGTGAGGTGGAGTCACTGCAACTCGGTGCCAGCAAGTCAGGAGACATTACTGCTGGAAGTATCCACAGTTAGCTCTGACTTAGGGGACGTCTTGTGGCCATAAATGTGGAGGAACCGAGCTCTTTAAAAGCCAGTTTGGGTCTGATATAAGTTCTGCTTCGTGTTTGTGTCCATTCACTCCGTAAACATACCATATATAGTCATGTTTGAGCTCACTATAACACACATTGCAAGGGAGCCGCTCATAGTGCACACATCCTTTGGCTGTTAGAAGCAGACTCACATAGGCTATTTCTGGTGTGTCGTGGCTTTCTTCTTTCTTTTTTTTTTTTTGGTGGGGAGGAGGTGGTGGGGGAGGGAGAGGAAAAGGAGCTCTTTTTCCTTCCATCTTCACACTGGTTGGAAGATGTTTCTGATTCTAGTTTGTCTGGCACTCTGAAAGCTAAGGAACTGTATTGTCATGGCAGAAGAAACAATTCTCTGTGTGCATCTGTTTTAGAATGAAACCGTACTTTTCTTAGTATCTTAACATCACATGCATTTTGTAGTTTATGGTCTCCAGTCTCCAGCTGTTTTTGGAGCACCTTCTAACTTTGAGAGGGTGAGCTCTAGCCTGTAAAATGGACTGTGGGTGGCTCGTGGAGAAGGTGCCCTGGTGTGCTTTTCTGTGTCCTCTCTGGATTCTCCCTGAGCTGTCCACCTCTGAAGCCTGCTTCACCTTCAGACTGCCAGGGCAAGACATGCAGCTTCTGCAGAACTCATGGCAGCCGTTTTCCACTTGGCCGAGCTGGGTCTGTGAAGCAGAGAGGAATCAGTAATAGGAAAGAAATGTAGTTGTTTTTTTCCCCCTTAGAATACCTACCATACTGCATTTCAGCTTGGAGTGCGCAGCATGAGGCATTTGTGGTTCAGAAAAGAGGTCTTCCTTTTTCCTCCTCCTGTTTTCTTTTCCTTCCTTCTCCCCAACTCCCCAAAGGCTTACTGCCTTTCTTCTCAGGCCACGTGTGTAGATAACCTTTGAGGAAAAGATGGTTTCCGTGCTGGGATATTTGGATATTACCTAAAGGGACAAGATGAGCCCTTTCTTTGCCTTGTTTTCTTTCTCTGGCCTCATCAGAGTGAATTATATCTGACTGTGTGACAGTTAATTGTACCATCCATCCCGTGTCCTAAGCTGATAAGCCCCTCTCTGTCTGCCTCCATCAAGCTTCTTTGTTTGAGAAGTTCCTAATGCAGTAGGAGAACAAAGTGACAGTTTTCTTATTTACTGAAGTCTCTAAAGCACATTCATAATGCTCTTCATTGTATCTTTCTTATAACTTCATTCCTTCAACTTAGGTAATTAAATTGTTCCATAGTACCAGTGATTGATAAGTTAAAACTTCCTCAGAAACATCAGTGAGTTCAGGAAAAAAAAAAAAAAGTTTGTGTTTTAAGCTGCGTGTATTCATTCCAAACTATTATTGGCTTGGTAGACAGTATTCACAGTAAGACACTGGACACTGCTGGATTGCCAATTACCATTGTGGATATAGCAGTTGATTAGCTAGCTGACTCAAAAGTAGTATATTGCTTATGTAGAGGTCGCTTATTTGGCATTCTTCGGTCCAGAATATTCAGCCGATGTGCTTGCGAGTGAGTGAGAGCCAGCAGGGTATACGTGGGGGGAGAGGTATGTAAAATAAAGTTTTCAAAGCCACAAAGGTGTTAGGAAGTCCTGGTACTAACACTCCTACCTTGATTCCCATTGATCCTTTAGGCCTGCACTTCAGCACTATTTATTCTTACTGTAGATACAGCCCTGGCCACCTTGTCTCACATTTTCCAGTCTACATTTCTGAGGCCAATGTTGGGGATGGAAAAAAGCCATCAGAAGGAGACACATTGACAACAAGCAGAAAAGATGTTAGGGGATGAGACAAGAATTCAAACGGCATGGCGGATTCCCATTGGGGGAATTTCACAGACTGGACAGAGGAGCCCTCTGTGTTATTTCTTAAAACTGCCTGTGTATCCACAATTATCTCAGGAAAATTTTCAATTGAGAAAAACAAGCATGGCCAACAGAGCCATGTGGTACAGTGGCAAAAGTAAAGTGGGGGGGGGTGGGTATGTCACTAGTTTCCAGAGGCAGCCTAGTGTAAGTTGTTCATCGTGATGATCCTGAGTCACCCCCACAAAAGGCTGAATTAATCATACATTGATTCACCATGCTATGCTTAAGGAAACAGGGAAGTTTGAAAGATACTTTAGAATGATTGACACCCAGGAGTTTTATATGGAAAATTAATTTCTGAATACTTTCCTTCCCCCTCAGTGATGTGCAGCTGCTTCATGAGTTAACATGACGTGTTAGAATAAACCTTTCAGTATAGTCAGACATATACTAAAATATTATATATTTTGCCCAGATTTGTAGAAAAAAAGTTATTCATTAACAGATTCAGATGATGTCCAAATACCATACCAGGTTGTCTGTATTCCCTTTATTTTTTGAGACAGAGTCTTGCTCTGTTGCCCAGAATGGAGTGCAATGGCATGATTTCGGCTCACTGCAACCTCTGCCTCCCAGGTTCAAGCAATTCTCCTGTCTCAGCCTCCCGAGTAGCTGGGACTAGAGGCGCGTGCTACCACACCCAGCTAATTTTTGTATTTTTAGTAGAGTCGGGGTTTCACCATATTGGTCAGGCTGGTCTCAAACTCCTGACCTCAGGTGATCTGCCCGCCTTGGCCTCCCAAAGTGCTGGAATTACAGTTGTGAGCCACCACGCCTGGCCATTTGTCTGTATTCCTAATGTGAATTGTGCATATTTATCACCAAAAGAATATATAAAATGTCATGGATTTTTAAAAGCAAATGATACCAAAGATCCCTAGGTACCAGAGAAGTCATAGACATCCTGGAAAACATAGTCTCTGTAGAAAAGGAATACTGAACTTAAAGGAAGTCTCAAGTTAAATTTAAACCATCAAATGGTGAATTGGAAGGAAGGAGTGCCCTCAACTAAGACTTACTGTAAAAAACCATAGAATTTTAGAGCTGGAATGGACTTGAGAGGTGACTTGTTCTGTTTTTATGAGTTTGTCTTCATTTTACCCAGTGTTCTTCCACAATTCATGTCTGTGCCCAGAATTGAACAACTCACCTGGAATAGTGTCCACATGGCTTTTTGGCCATGAGGAATAATCCTAACTTGGAAAATAATAGGTATTTACTCAGCAGAAATTATTAGGTTTTGGGTTTTGTTTGTTTTTTGTTGAGACAGAGTTTCGCTCTGGTCGCCTAGGCTGGAGTCCAGTGGCGCAATCTCGGCTCACTGCAACCTGGCGCCTCCCAGGTTCAAGCGATTCTCCTGCCTCAGCCTCCTGAGTAGCTGGGATTACAGGTGTGCACCACCACGCCTGGCTAATTTTTGTATTTTTAGTAGAGACGGGGTTTCACCATGTTGGCCAGGCTGGTCTCAAACTCCTGACCTCAGGTGATCCACACACCTCGGCCTCCCAAAGTGCTGGGATTATAGGCGTGGGCCACTGCGCCTGGCCTGGTTGGTTTTTTTTTTTTTTTATTCTTTTTTCAAGGTTATTTGCTAATTTTATTCTTCTCAGTAGTTCCATTTTATAGGTAGAGAACACTTCAGCACTCCATGGTGCTATACCAGACTCTTTCTTGGCCTTGTTATATATTAATGGACATTTTCATGGAAATCCCAGGGTTGAAAACTCCCCAGAGTTGCTAATACCTGCTACTGGTTCTCAAGTGGTTTGATATTATATACATAAGTGTGGAGCATTGCTGGACCCAGGTTTTAATAATCAGATTAATAGATACATTTGAAACATTGTCATATTAGCTTTTAATACTACTGAATTTAAGTCTTCTGTGCACTTAGGTTTGCTGTAACGCATGGTTAACATATATAGGTTGGTATAAATTTTTCTGTTCCTGATTCAGATAGGGTTTTTGTGTGTTTTGGGTTTTTTCTCCATAAGAGAAATTGTTCCCTTTGAAATTTTAATTAGTTTTGAAATTAAACTATAGTTGTGCATATGCATGGCAGCTATACCTCCTGATTGCTATGCTGAAGGTAGAAAGTATTCTCTTGTTGTATAGACATTGGTCATACTGTCAGGCAAGGGAAATGCCACTAATTTCTGTTTCTTGAATTGCATACCAGAAATAGGAATTCGTTGTCTGACTGTTAGATGCTCAGGGCAGATGGAAAAGTAAGAAAAACCAGGACTTCCCAGGAAGCAAGTGGCAGATCTGTGTGCTGACTGTTTCAGGGTGGGGATGGCACAGAGGGGGCTTGCAGGAGAGATGTGGCCGAGGGTGGAAGAGCTTGTCTTCGGTGCCTTGTGATAAGCGACCTGCAGCCTGTTGCAATGGCGACTGCATTTGAGATGGTGTGCTTGTAACATCCGCCGGGTAGGCGGAGCCTCAAGGACACATGTTGAGAGGTTGGGGTGGTGGAGCCAGGAGGTGCAGTGAGCGAAGCATCCAGGCGTGGATTTGAACAGCTGCTGGCCGCCCGGAGATCAGCCTCCATGCATCAGTCATAGGCACAGAGAACTCATCCGTGCGGCTGGAGGCTGAACATGGAGAAGGAGGGAAGGGAGCTGCTTTTTCAGTTAATACTCTTGATGCTTCCAGAGCAGTTTAAAGATACTGCGGAAATTTGTTGGGTGGTTCATTGTTTGTTTTAAAAGCTTTGCCCCCTTCACGTAATCCTATCTTTTATTTAATATAAATGCAATCAGTCTGCTTTAAACACTGACTAAAATTGCTTTTACTAGATATTGTATTATGTATAAGGGGGGAGCTGAGGCCCAAAGAGAAGAATTTGATCAATTGATTTAAGGTTGTTGGAGGATTGAAATGTTACTTGATTGCTGGTCTTATCCAGGATTTCAAGATTTCAAGGAAAAGTGGACAATGCCTGCTTTTATCTAAGGGATTTCAGCAGTCATATGATCTACAAACCAGCCCCCAGGAGCAGCAGGCCCTGGCAACCTCTGTGCTATGGAGTCCACGCAGAACAGGGACTTCAAAGTGCTTGGGGTGTGCTGGCTTGGGAGTCATTTCGCTGAGAACTGGTTTTGGTCATGGCCTTAACATCTGCATAGATGTTGCACATTGCAGGCACATGACACTTGAATGGGCTGAGATTTAGGTGCAAGTTGGTAGAGCTTAAAGGGGAGGTAACATTAGTGAGGCCAATGGGCAGCAGCCCCACTGCTGAGCACACACTGCAGTTCCCTGCAGGGTCAGGGAGAAGGTGGCCTTGCCAGGTTGAGGCTAGGAGCAGAGATCATCTTGTTAAGTTCTCACAAATCAATTACTGACACGGGAACAGTGTGTAAAAGTCTGAAACCACAAATCTTTTTGGACATTTTGGCTGTATAAAGCATATCATTTATAAGCTCCCAGGAATTTACTTATAGTTTGAGTGTCTCTTGTGATGAACAGGACTATGGGGGAGAAATAAACCAAGCAAGTGAAATCACAGAAACTATGTGAAATCACTTTTAGATGGCTTTCGTTTTCAAAACGTTGGATATTCTCACTATATTTCCCTTGTAGGTACATACACAAGGACATTGATTTGAGGATGCATTATGAGTTTTAGAAAATCACCTTGCTAAATAATAGGGAGTTCTGGGGCTTTATGGGAGAGTGATAGTAAGATGTGATGCTGAGTTTTTTAGCTGTGTGTATAAGTCCACTTGGTATCTAATTGCACATTATTCCTGTTGTTTCCAGTATCCTAAGGGAACCTCTCTCAGTGTTAGCTCCTTATGAAAAGTACAGAAATAATCCTGTTTTAGGGTGTACATGATGACTTTCTTGGTCTCTCTAATTTCTTATAAGTGGTGTATTACATGATTTTAAAAATAGACCTTCACTAATGTTAGATCTTTAGGTTTTCATTATTGTTAATTGACTTTTTTTATGTCTCCTGAAAGACAGAAATGAAGAAAATAATCCACTCACCAAAAAACCCAACAGTTGCTGAATAGCTATGAAACATATGAAAGAAATTCAGCCTTTAGCATTGGGGCCTTTTTATTATTCTCAAGTTTGATTTTACAGCTGAGCTATAAATGTGACCAAATGCATCACATGAGTGTTTACCTTTTTTTTCCTTTCCTTTTTGGCCACATGGAAGTACCTAAAGAGATGGAATGTGACACACCCAGAGAATGAGGCACTGGAGGGGCCTATGAACTTGAGAAGGCCAGGAGCAGCAGGGTCCCTTCATCTCAGTGCTTAGCTTTGCCAGTGCTAAGTGGGAAGCAGAAGTCACTGAGCTCCTTAGCAAGTGAGTTTTTAAAATGTGTGTGTGTACACAAAGGAGTTGTTCCAGTGCTCTCTGTAGAAAGTGCTAGAGAGAATTCTAGCAGGAAATTCCACCACCTTTGAGATTAGTTGTCAATCCCACTAAAAGATAGCCCTCCAAAGAAGTGCTGCTTTGCTCTGCAGACCTGAAAGGTCCTATGCGATTCTCTTACATACTTCTTAGTTCCCTCTCCCCAATTCTTTTAATTTTGTGTATTTCATGAATTTTGTAGTCTTAAGTTGTTAATTGAGGTGTTCTGGATTGTAATGTGTTTTGGTGTGTGTGTGTGACAGTGAAGGAGGTATTAATCTTTGTGAGAGGGTTTTTTTTTTTTTTTTTTTTTGAGGAAAATATTTTTAATGTTTCATTCCACAGTCTGGTAAGTTGTATACTGTTGACAGCTCATTACCTACATGTTAAACTGCAAAATGTTCCTAGATTAGTAGAACTATTATTTTTTTTTAAAAAAAGTAGCTTTGTGGTTAAATTCTGATGCCCTTAAAGAGATCACTTTCTCCTGTTTTGGCAAAACAAGTTATCAGTCCACACGTGATTACATAAATAAAATTGAAACCCTTTACTCTTGCTCCTCCCTACTCAATTAAAGTCAAGGGATTCCAGTAGTGGTATACACACACACACACACACACACACACACACAAATCCTCCAATGTATTTACTTTTCACATTTTTAATACATTTTAGCGGACTGAGCTTTCTAAATTATTAGCAACTAGTACATAATCATGTTGCAGTAAATAATTTTTTTAGTTAGTGAGAAACAGACCGAAAATAGGAGGTTAAAAACAGTTCATCTGTTTTGGTGAATAGAAGTGAATGAGAGTAGGGTAGAAATTCTGGCTGATTTTATAAAATATCTCAGATCTGTTTGATAGGTTGGGCTTAAGACTGATGATGTGGGCATCCTCTTTATAATGAAGTCAGGCTAAGCGAAGCTATGTTGAAGTATCAAACAAAGCCTGAAATCCCAGTGGCTCAACCCATAAAGTGCCGTTGCTTGTTGGTGTAGAATCCTCTGCAGGTCTGGCAGCTCTCTAGTATAGCTCCCTTACAAGTGGTAACCCAGGGATCCAGGCTGCTCTTGTCTTATAGCTACTCTGTCATTACACATGCTTCCAGGTTGCCACCACAAGGAAAGAGCTAGTGGGTTACATACTGACTTTGAAAGGCTGCAGTCTGGAAGTGATGGCTGGTACTTGTGCTCACAGCTCATTGGCCAGGACTAGTCATGTGACCTGCCTGACCACAAAGGTATACGGTTGCCAGGAAATATGGAAGAATATGTGGATATTCTTTGAGCAGTGAGCATCTTTGCTTTATTCTCCTTTTCCATTTCATCTCCATAAGGTTCTCTATGCACATAAACTAGATGAAGCTTAGGCCTGAAGCCTAGAACATAATGACACTTTGGTTCTCAAAGTGTGGTCCCCAGACAAGCAGCATTAGCATCACCTGGGAACTTGTTAGAAACACAGATTCCTAGGCCCCACTCCAGCCCTGCTGAATCAGAAATGTGGAGGTGGGGCCCAGAAATCTGTTATCATAAGCTCTCCAGGTGCATACTAAAGTTTGAAAATGACTGCCCAGTGGGAGTACAATGTTTGTAGCACCTGTTGAACTCATCACTGGGGACGTGAAGGACTAATAGACACTTGCTAATGTGAACGTACAGTATGTGTGCTCAGGTGTGAGCATGTATATGATAATAAAAAGCACTGAGGGATGGTATCATGTGTGCCAGACAGGTTTTAGCACTTTATAGATTTGACTAATCTATTTCTCAGAACAGTCATATGATTTCAGTATTATTATTGTCTCCATCTCACAGATGAGGAAATTGCAGAACTGAGAGGTTCCCTAACTGTCTAAGGGTCAGGCCACTTACCACTGCTGGCAAGTGGTAGAGGCAGGATTTGCGATGTGGTTCCAGAGCCTACTCCTTAACTACCATGCAATTCCGCTTGTTCATCTTTGGGTGGTTACCCACCGGGCCTTAAGGTAGTCTTTTCATTTTTTCTTGAATGGAGACAGTCTGTCAGAGTTCGCAGGAAGTGTGGTGTGCTGGTGACAGTTCACATTCCAAGTTAAGCCCCCTTACCACGAGCTTCATTCGTTGGTGGTTTACGTGTGGGGGGTGCTGGTGACAGTGTTGGTCAATACTAGAGGGGCATGGCTAGGCAGCAGCTGCCCAGTCATTTAAAACTGAACAATAAATAGAACGGGGTTGTTAGGGGCGGAACGAAGGGGCCTAGTGGGAAGTGGTTTCTCAGAGGGAGATAGTTCAGTCGCACTAGAAGAATATTTTCTTCAGTTAACCTATGTGTAATTTTCAGGCTTATGAGAAGAAAGGCCCTGTTCTCATCACCCTCCCTTTTGATTCTTCTTTGGTCTTTTTCCATCATCCATCTGCCTGCCCTGAGATGCTCATCTGAGGCCTGATTCCATCAGGTGGTCTGAAGAAGGTTTCTATGAAGTCTTTATGAGCTGGACTTCAGTTTTGTTTTGTTTGTTTGTTTGTCTGAGACAGAGCTTTGCTCTGTTGCCCAGGCTGGAGTGCAGTGGCACGATCTTGGCTCACTGCAACTTCCGTCTCCCGGGTTTAAGCGATTCTCCTGCCTCACTCAGCCTCCCGAGTGGCTGGGATTATAGGCCTGTGCCACCACACCCAGCTAATTTTCATATTTTTGGTAGAGACAGGGTTTCACCCTGTTGGCCTGGCTAGTCTCGAACTCCTGACCTCAGGTGATTGGCCTGCCTCAGCCTCCCAAGGTGCTGGGATTACAGGCGTGAGCCACAGCATCCGGCCAGGACTTAAGTTTTAATAGAGAAAATGTGTTTTCCCTTCCAAGAAACCTGATAAAATAGTTTCCTCCCCTTGCACTTGGGAAATCCAGATAGAGTTAGATGTGATTTAATCTTTTGAATTTTGAACTGATTGAAAAGGATTTTCCAAGTGACATTAAGAACTTGCATCCTTTTAAATTTTTTAATTATTAACTGCATTTTCTTTCTTCCAGGTGGGTCTATTATTTGTTGTTGTTTAGGTGTCCTTTGCTGGCCCATGTATTCCCTTGGCTTCTTTGTCTTTTGTGTTCAGCAGACTAGAACTGAGACAGCTCCTTGGCAGCTCTGTCCTGGACAGTACCGGCTTTAACTCTAGGTAGAAGATAAAGATAGCATCACCCCTTTCGGGTTTCATGTTGGCTGGGAACAGCTGCTAAGCTTTGTATAACTCACAAAGTAACATTTCATTCCAGATTTGCTGAAATTTTTAGTTTTCTGCAAGCCAGGGCTTAACCACGGGGTTTTTTCTCATTCACACTTAAGAGTCTAGACTTTTCGTTTGAGAAGCAGTTGCTTGTCTTGGAGTTTAGTAATTGAAGGGAACAGAGGTGGGAGAGGGAGGAAATTATTTGCATAAGTTGTTTTAAAGCTCCGTCCACTTCCTTTCCCTTCATCACTTTAAATGGTTTAATTTGCTTAGGTACTTCAGCAGAGGTGTAGATAATTGAGGTAAATCTCGAGTCAAATCTAAACAAAAGAAAGAACTGACCTAAAAAAGAGCAACTGAACTCACACTAATTGAATCACAGATTTGCTCAGACCAATCTAACCTGTGAGGAAGGCCAGGGAACACTGTGCCCTTGATGTGCTTTTTGCCTCTTAAGAGGGAACACCAGCCAGTCCCTTGTGGCTCTCCCAGCCACCTTCCGCACTGAGCCACATCTGGGTTAGAGCTGCAAAATTCACCCTGAAAAAAATGTGAAAGCCATTTTGGGTTGGACATTTGTAAAACAAATTTTTTCTCCTTTTGGAGACCTGGTGCCCTTGGTATTTGTATATAGAATCCACTTGTTTATTCTTGAGGAGAGCAGCTATGTGTGTGAATTGGGCATCCGTTGGAAGAAACATAACAGGCTTGCCTGTAACAGCTGGAATATAGTTGCAGCCCTTTGAAATAAGACAATCTTAGTTTTCCTTCCTTCTCCTTAGCCAGCCATCCAGCGTAGGAAACAGGATGCTGTGTACGTACCCTGAGTAGGAGGAGAGGGTTCCAGAGTGCCACTTGGCTGCTCCTGTGTACCCATTCTTGTTCAAGAGCACCTTGAGATCACATGGTCTTAAATGCCAAAGCTGACCAAGAGCTGCCCCTCTGTTCAGCTTCGTCGTCCCTGGCTGTTGGGGAGGACTTTGTCTGTCTGACTGCCGCTGGGCTGCCTTGCCCCAGCTCCCTGGGGTCCTTTGCTCCGTAATCCATCAGCTCTTCTTTTCTCTTCTTCTTACTCATAGTATAAGACCCGACTGCCCATTTTTTGGAGATGACTAATTAATTAGTAAAATATTTGGCTGGGCGCGGTGGCTCACGTCTGAAATCCCAGCACTTTGGGATGCAGAGGCAGGCAGATGGCTTGAGTTCAGGAAGTTGGAGACCAGCCTAGGCAACATGGTGAAACCCTGTCTCTACCAAAAATACAAAAACTTAGCCAGGTGTGGTGGGGCGTGCCTGTAGTCCCAGCCACTTAGGAGGCTGAGGCACAAGAATTGCTTGAACCCGGGAGGTGGAGGTTGTAGTGAGCCAAGATCGTGCAGCTGCACTCCAGCCTGGGCAACAGAGTAAGACTCCATCTCAAAAAAAAAAAAAATTGAGTGCCTACTGTGTGCACATGTACCCTGTGTGACCATGGGCCAGGCACAGTGGTTCATGCCTGTAATCCCAGCACTTTGAGAGGCTGAAGCAGGTGGATTGCTCGAGCCCAGGAGTTCGAGACCAGCCTGGGCAACATAGTGAGACTCCGTCTCTCCAAAAAAAAAATAAAGTTAGCATGGTGTGGTGGTGCGCACCTGTGGTCCCAGCATTTGAGAAGCTGAGGTCGGAGGGTTGCTTGATCCTGGAAAGTCAGGGCTGCAGTGAGCCATACTCCAACCTGGGTGACAGAGCAAGACTCTGTCTGTCTCTTTGGGAAAAAAAAAAAATCCAACTTACGAGTTCTCTTGTGCTCCCTCTCCACTGTTCCTCTTTGCTCTTTCATCCCTCCTGACTCCAGAAGAGGGCTCTACCACTCGCTGCTAATGCCTTCACATTTGTCTGGATTCCTGCCTCCTGGGGACCTCATCCTTGCCAGCCCCTGTTGCTGTGCCTGTGCCCTACCAGGGGTGTTTTCATGTTCTCATCAGTGACCCTGCTTAGCCCTGAATATCATCAGCCGGCTCATGCCTGACTTCTCTGTGGAGGGATTCATCCCACGTGCATTCTTCAGGGTATGAATCCCACAGGACCAAGACCTTCTGGATCCCTTTCCATTTCTTCACATTCAAGAATCTCTGCAAAAGAATGTAGCCTAACCCCCCTAACAATCTAAAACTTCTTCCCAAGCACCATTTAGTGCCCCAGGACACTTGCCTGTGGCCAGAGCGACTCTCTTCCTTTCTGCCCTTTCCATTGTCTACCCCACCTGCCTCCCCTTTGAAAGTTGTTCAGGTTTAACTTTCCCTCCCTATTCCCTTTGTTCCCGTTTGTAGGCAGGTCTCCCTCCCCTGCAATCCCATACCATGTTCAAACAGGTTTTCTTAAAACTCTTACATCACTTTTCTCAGCCTACACCCCCTACTGCCCCAGACCCAACCCCAACTCTCCCACCTCCTGTAATTTGCCCACTCCACACACACCCTCTGTAATGAGGCCCCTGCCCTTCAGCAGGACCTGGCTCCTGGGCTTCTTGTGGTACTTCCTGGGTATCAGCTCCCTCCAGCCTCCACCTCCATACCCTTCCTCTTACACTACCCCAGTCCACTAATCTCTGCTTTTTCTAGACCTAAAATTAGAATTGTATAGACAGCACTTAATTCTCTTACCTTCCCAAGCTTTCTTTTACCTCTTACCAAGTGGTAAGCTTATGGAGTTCCCCACCCCAACCTAGTAGTGGATCAGGAGTTACTAATTGAAGTAGCTGACATACATTTTTATCATCAAGAAATATTTGAGGGCCTAAAGTAGAGTATTTCACCCCCAAATCATTTGAAGGTAGATTGTGGGTCCCATTTGTTTATTTTTTTCAGACTCTTTTTTTTTTAAACCTTGATAGCTTAAAGGCCAGGAAAAAACTGATTAGTTTTCATCTTCAAAGGACACAGGATAAAAGAAGGACTGAGCCAGCTCACCCCTACCCTCCAAACACCTTTAAATCACAGTCACTTTTCCCACTCCCCTGGTTGTGACTTTTGAATTTTATAGTTGATATAATCCCTCCTTTTATAGCCGATTTATGCACTGCAATTTAAGTAAGCAGAAATGTTCAGTGCATAGGGGGACTCAGATTTAATGATTGTTGACTTAAATTTAAAAGGATCACTAAGGCCCCTGTACCTCTTACTTATTGCAAAACAAACATTCTCCGTAAGACCACCCTCTATTCTGTGACCCCTTTGAGGTTCCTAGGAATTGATAGGTTGTGGGCCATGTTTACACCCACAGGAGGACTTCTTTACAGAAAACCTCCCCAGCATCTTTGATGGCCTAGATGTGTTCACAGTCACACTGAGAAAGTTTTAACCTGATAGTCATCATTCAGAAACTAACTCGAATCCCAACATCATTCCTGGAATAACGGGACAGCCGCATAGATGGGGCTCACAAGGATGTCTCCCCTCTCGTTCCTTTCCAGAGGATGAGTTCTGTTTTAAAATTATAACTGTTTATTACAGGCACTGGGCGGATTGCTTTAGGAATTGATTTAACGAATGTTCACTGGGTTATTGCCTTGTGTCAATAATGTTTTGAGTGAAATATCAAAACGCTGATGAGATGGTTTATCTCATCTCATCTTTACAAGAAAAGGGAAGGTTAGAGGATTTGGTGTTGCCAGTGTTTTTACTTATTGTTGGTGGCCTGCCTGAAACTGATGGCAGTAGTAAGTAAGGAAAAAGCCTGCCAGTCTCCTTAACTCTCCAAAAGTAGGATTAAATCTGCTGAGGGTCAGACCACTGCCGTAGTTCTGTCCTTTCCTGGAAATCATAGATTCTTTTGAAAGGCTGATCAAATTTATGGACTATTTTCCTAAAGCTGAATACTGTCTGCATTTTACATGTGGTTTCAAGGGTATGACTCTTGCACTTGTCTACAGAACAAGGCTTATCAACCTAAGCATGTCATCTGTTCAGCTCAGCTGGCCCATAGTTGGCTTGCAGTACCTGTTATAGATTGAGAGAAACAATGCCTACTGTGTGCCAGGCACTGAGCTACAGACTAAAGATACATAAATTGGGGGAGGGAGGGCAGGGTGCAATTAAGGACTGAAATTTGATCACTTTCTTTTTTGCATTTTTTTTTTTTAAATGAGACAGGTTTTCCCTCTGCCACCCAGGCTACTTGAGTTCAGTGGTACAATTATAGCTCACTACCAAGCCCAGCAAATTAAAAAAAATTTTTAGACACAGGGGTCTTGCTATATTGCCCAAGCTGGTCTCAAACTCCTGGCGTCACGAATAGTTGGGTCTTTCTGGTATATTTTCAAAAATTATGTTAAGTTTTTTTAAAAAAAAATAGTGACATCAAATTATACTTAAAAAAGCACTGTATTCTCATGATACATACGTTGTTTCAGATTGCCTTTTCTAGACTTTATCCATAAGTATAGCATAGAATCTTAAATGTGCCAGCTAGCTTTTTAAACTTGACCTAACTTTATAAACATTTTCCCATGTTTTCACACATTGACTTTTTTTTGAGACAGGGTCTCAGTTTGTCACCCAGGCTGGAATGCAGTGGTGTGATCACCGCTCACTGCAGCCTTGACCTCCTGAGCTCAAACAATCCTCCCGGTTCAGCTTCCTGAGTAGCTGGGATTACAGGCGCACAACACCACACCTGGATAACTTTTTTTTTTTCTTTTTTTTTTCTTTTTGAGACGGAGTCTCATTCTGTCACCAGGCTGAAGTACTGTGGTGCAATCTCAGCTCACTGCAACCTCCGACTCCCTGGTTCAAGCAATTCTCCTGCCTCAGCCTCCTGAGTAGCTGGGATTACAGGCACGCGCCACCATGCCCAGCTAATTTTTGTATTTTAGTAGAGATGGAGTTTCACTTTGTTGGCCAGGATGGTCTCCATCTCCTGACCTCGTGATCCACCCGCCTCAGCCTTCCAAAGTGCTGGGATTACAGGCGTGAGCCACTGCACCCGGCCCACATCTGGGTAACTTTTTGTGTTTTTTGTCTAGATAGAGTTTCGCCATGTTGCCCAGGCTGATCTCGAACTCTAGGGCCAAACCGATCCTCTCGCCTCGGCCTTGCAAAGTGCTGGGATTACAGGTGTGAGGCACAGTGTCCAGCCCACATTGACCTTTATGTTTGAGGTGGGACCAGGTTCAAGCAGGTTTAGGGTAGATGGGGCAGGGTGGGGATGACTCACCTGGGAGAGGTCAGCCTGCTTATGACACGTCCCTCTATTGTTGGTTTCATGGATTATTTCCCTCTATGAACTGAAACTCTAGTCAACACTAGGCAAAGTAAGTTACTTTGAGATCCACTAACTCCCCTCCCAAGCCTGCAGGTAAAACCATCCCAGATCACCTTTATTCCTGCTTTAGGGTTTAAAAACCCCAGGAGGCAAACAAATTAAAGACTGCAGATGTTCTTAGGATGGTTAGACTTGACACAGAAGAGAAAGAGGTACAACTGTTCATAGAGTTCAGTTTGACAATTAACATGTATATTAGTATGGTTGCCTGTGTTTGTGTTATGTTTCACTGTGTTTCATCTTCCTGTGCCTGGGATCCCCCATGCCCTCCTTTCCTATCTTTCTCAAAACCAGCTGTTTTTCCCCATCTGCTGCATTTTGGTTATAGATATTTATTTGTAGGTTTGCTTTAAAACAAAACTCCTCTAAATCCTACTTGATAACCATCCATGCTCTTTACTCTCTCCTGTCCTGGGAGCTCTCTTCCTAACTCCTGCCCTTCATTCTCGACGCCTGCCTGGCCTCCTTTTGGTTCCTTCTCTACAGCATTGCTTCCACCCACCAGCTGTAGTGCCCCTGTCCCTTAAGAGTATGGCAGTGCCTCCTAACTGGGTTATATACCTCTGATTGTCCATTTTTAAATCTGCTACCAAGAGCTTTTTAAGCTGTGGATACGATTATTTCATCGTGGGCTTTAAAAATTGTGAGGAGGGGCCCTTCAGTGGGTTTCCAGAGCAACAGGATAAAGTTCATGGCTCTTAGATGGAACCTTGAGCCCAGCATCATTCTGCCAGCCGCATCTTTGCCATTTCCCCCACTGCACTCTCCCTCCTTTCTCAAAACACACTGGTGCACTCTGATAGCTCCCAGGGGTTTTGTTTTCATGGACAAGACACACAAAACTTTTGCAGTTAGACACAAGGTTGCCGTTTTTTTATTTTGCTAAGTAAGGGCATTAAAAAATGATCTCTACCATCTACTGTCTTTATCTCATTTTAAAAGATGGCAGTTTACCCTAAAAAAAAAAAAGAATGAATTCAGCATTGTGAGAAACTCAGCAAATCATCTGCTTTTTCTGCACACTGTGTTAACAGCTTTCTGCGTGTGGCTGGGAGGCGAATCTCTTCTTCAAGCTCAGGTTTGCTTTTGCTGTGCTGCCCTCGCCTTGCACTCAGTGGTGCTTACCTCTGGTGAGCCACTGCAGCTCTGGAAGTGTTTGGCTCATACTCCAGGTTCCCTGGAGTTGAAATTTCCCTCTCTGTGTTTCCTCTGACATAGGAAGCCAGGGCTCTCTGTCTTACAGCTCTTGGTGGTTCTGGCACCTGGAATGTTAGTAGCCTTAGATGTCTGAGGATGATCGTCATAATCTCCCAGGTTTTCGCACAGATCCCAAACCTTACCCTATGTGTAGGGTATACAAACAGTATAGAATATTTTAAGCCACTAATTTTAACAACATGCTGAGAATACCCATTTTTCTCTGCCTACGGATTGGATACACTCTGAAAGCAGCAAGGATGGGCCTACAACTCCAGCTGCAGGAAACTGAGTAGACTGCTCCCCTTTATTTTATTTTATTTTATTTTTATTTTTTTATTTTTTCATTTTTTGAGAGAGGGTCTCACTCTGTTGCCTAGGCTAGAGTGCAGTGTCACGGTCAGTGCTCACTGTAGCCTCAACCTCCCTGGGCTCAGGCGATCCTCCCACCTCAGCTTCCTGAGTAGCTGGGACTACAGGTACCCACCACCACACTTGCATATCTATCTTCCAAACTCTCATCCATTAAAAGTGAATCTTGACTAGTAGGGTAAGAGAAAGCCATCACCATAATTAGCAGTGTCTTTTGGAGGAAGCCTTGAAAGGACTATTCTTCCCTTGATGAGAGCAGAGCGTTAAAGTTTAACTACAAGGAATAAAGAGACAGTGAGTTTTTTCTCACATATTTACCGTGGCCAGGTAGCCATTTGTATAATCTGTTGAGCCTTTTTTTTACCCCTTAGGAAAATTCTGTTTGCAGATTGGGAGCACTCCAGGAAGTCACTGGCCTCTGAAATACTTCGTGGAAATGTGTTAGTTCCCATTCTAAATTGGTTTGGTGACTGAGGCTGTTCTTTGACTTCAGCGTTTTATTTTATTTTATTTATTTATTTATTGAGAAAGAGTCTTGCTCTGTTGCCCAGGCTGGAGTGCAATGGTGCTATCTTGGCTCACTGCAAGCTCTACCTCCTGGGTTCACACCATTCTCCTGCCTCAGCCTCCTGAGTAGCTGGGACTACAGGCACCCGCCACCACGCCCGGCTAATTTTTTTTTGTATTTTTAGTAGAGATGGGGTTTCACCGTGTTAGCCAGGATGGTCTCGATCTCCTGACCTCATGATCTGCCCGCCTCGGCCTCCCAAAGTGCTGGGATTACAGGCGTGAGCCACCGCGCCTGGCACTTCAGCGTTTTAGTTGTGGGGCTGGCAGAGCATGAAATTGAGTTTGTGTGAGCACGTGTGTGCCTGGGTATAGTGGACTGCATTTTCTTTGCAGAAGTATAATGAAGCATCTTCAAGGACTTTGAAAAAGTTTCCTCGGACATATCCAGTGAGCATGATAGATGCCATTGTTTCGCAAGTTTTCTATTTTCTTTGTCTGTACAGGTTGTTCCTGACTTCGTGGCTGGGAGGAAATTGAGGATGCTGAAGAGTACTTGCCGTTTGGCCGGTGGGGTTGAGCCAGTCAGCTGGCTCCTGTTCTCCCATGGGCCCCTATCGGGGCTGGGTCCTGTGGCTGTAGGAGAGGGGCCACATAGAGGCACCGTTCTAAGTTCTGTGGGGGGACAGCACAGTTCCTCTGGTCGCCACACATGCCCTGTCTGACTCATCTATTATCTAGACTCATAAAAAAAAAGATCCTAAAAAATACTGGCTCCATTCTGGAGAGTTGGCGCAGAAATTCAGATTGTGGACTCATTCTGTAAGCTGGCTTCTGTTCCTCACCTCCCACCCTTTTCGCCATGGCCTTCCCTACCTACTATCATCAATCCCCACTGCCCATCTCCTTTCCCCCACCCGGTTCTCTTACCTGTGTGACTGTTAGGGGTTCAGTGGTAGGTATTTGGGCAAGGAAATTTCTCCTTTCCTTAATTGATTTTAGGAAGATCTTTTGTATCCCAGAAAGGAACTCCAGGGGGACTGTGGTAAATGTCTGATTTAATCATTTTCTGAATGCATTAACCTCACATATGCTGATGGGATGCCAAGAAAATGGAACTCCTACCCTTGTATGGCAGGGAGTCAGGAACTCTGTCCACTGGTGTGTGAGTTCCCTCAGGTCATCCCATCCCATAAGTGACAAGCACAGTCTCACAACCCTCTTGATTGATGCACAAAAGAGTGGATTTTGCTGCTATACTGAGTCCTGGATATTCACAGCAAAGCTCTAAGTGCCAGGCAGATGGAAGTGCTTTTGAGTCTGAACCTAAAAACACCTAGACATCCCCACAGAGTCAAATCTCAGGCACAGAGTTAGGATTGGGAGGAAAATCAAAGACCACGACCTGGCCTCGCTCCAAAGGCGAGGGGTCCAGTGTATTCCAGGCCATTTGCTTGTGCAAGGACATGGTGTTCTGCTTTCAGTTCCAGTGGTTAAAGGACGCTATTAAATGCTACTGAATTATTTTAAGAATAGTAGTGTAAACTACATTTAACTTGAGCTACTGTAACTAACTTCTCGGGTTTCTGGACTTTGATGAAGATAGCTCTTGTGTTTGCAGCAGACAGAAAGCAAATGTCTAAGTGAGCCCTGAAAGTAAGTTCTCTTCTCGGAAGCATTGGCCTCTCACACACAGAGGCACAAGGAGTGCTATCCGTTGGACTTGAAGGCTGTTAGAGTTGGAGCTGCAATGGATGCCGGGTAGGTGTTGCTTGGGCATTGTTCCAAGAGGCTCTGGAGGCAAATATTTTAAACAAGTCAAACAGCCCCTCTAGGCGAGCTGCAGGAAGTCCAGCCCTTGCCTTCGTGTGGTCAGCAGGAGATAAAAGTGTGGACTGTTGGAGGCTAGGCCCCTCCTAACACTGGATAACAAACTGTTAAGGGAAGATAAAAGGAAAGAGTAGGGATGTCCTTTTTAAACAACATGAAGGTGCCTTTGTCACATGCATTCAAGTAAATTACGGGTGGTGAGCAAGACATGCCTCATTTTTATGATCACAAGCGTGTTGAAGAATTCTGAGAAGCAGGACTTGGTTTCAAAAGTATGCCAAAACAATTTCATGTCATGAAAATACTGGTAGAGGTAGGCTTTTGATTGAGAATGTTCCCATTACATACTGGGTTACATTAAATAGGCATCAGCTTGGATTTACAAATCTGTGTGCTACAGAGATTTTCCCTGTTAAGGTGTGTCTGACCCATGGGGACTGGGTGGGCGTGTCCAGCTGCCCTTGGACTGGGCAGATGAGCAGGCAGGGCGGCTGTGCTTCTCTGAAGTGTGCGCATCTCCTCTTAGTTGTGCTTCTGGTGTTGACCCAATTATTGCCCGGGTATGAAAGAGTTTGAAGGAAGAGACTGTCCTGCTGGTGTCTATCTCCCCTTTTCAGTTTTCCTTCCTGTTCTTTGTAACATTTGGGGGGAGTTTGGGGGCTTGCAAAGGGGTTATCTGTTTCTCAGGGTGGGGCTTGTAAACATGAACCCACACTTAAGAGCCTGGGCATGTTCAGTGCCCTGTGTGAGCTCAATCCAAAGCAAGTGAACAAGTGTGCTTCAGGGACATGATGCTTGTTTCAGGCCCCGCTGGGCCGTGGAGGGGCGGTGGCCCTTTGTGCAGTTAGACCCCCCAGGGAGTGCAGTTGTGAACTAATCACCGCCTGGAGAGCCTGTGTGCCTCACACTTCCTCCAGGACTGCACTAATCCCCACTCCCACCCCCAACTGCCAGCCCCTGGCCTTGGCCCCCTCCTTCCAAGGTGCCTCTGCTGGTCCAGGAACATGCCACCTCCTCTCCCAGCTGCACATGGGCTTTCCAAAAAGGCCCATCCTGCCTGCTAGTCATTTTTGGTTTGCTCAGTTTACTTTAAGAAAACCCATTTGCTTGCCAGTGTTTTTGGTTGGCTAGCTTGTGATAAACACTTATCAACCACTTATATCTCAGAGCATTTGTTTTCCTTCATATGCACAGTAGTAAATACTTTTCTTAGAGGCGAATTTGGGGGTGAGGGGATGGGAGGTTTTCTGTTGTATGGCGGAGGGCAGCCCATGCAGCTCCTGGGAGCTGGGCGTGGTCACTTCACCGCACACAGTCATTCCCAGCTGACGGTTTGTAACGTCTGATTACGCACTGTGAAATTTTGACCACAGCTGACCACTTTTCCAATGGGCGAGGAAAGATGTGATCTCCTCCTTCCACTGCCTTCTCTAAGCTAAGCTGTTAGGGGAGAAGCATTTCAAACGCTTGTATCTTCCACAAGTCATTTTGGTTTTCTAAGGAGTGTCATCCTGAATTCTGGGAATTCGAAGCCCAGATTTAAGGTAAATCACCTGCCCTGGGATTGCTTAGCTTGCAGCTCGTCCCTGGGGCAAAGTGGAGAATCCCGTTGCTGCTGCACCCTTTCCCTGAGCATGTCAGAAAGGCCAGCCCGGCGACCTCAGGGCCTGTGAAAGAGTTGCAGGATATTGCCTAAAACTCTATGCAAACTGCTACTGAACTTTACCCTAGCTTCTTACCAGAAGCTGGAAATGTGACCGAAGATACTTAGATTCACTTCAGAGATGTGTCCCAGAACACTCCCATTTCTACCATACATTGTCATGGTGTCAGCCATGCTGTATTCAGGTGCTGCAGTTAGTTGGGAGAGAAGCAGCTTGGTGAATATAGGGAAGAAAGAGCTGCATCCCTGTGGCAGCCAGTAGTGTGTACTTCCGTAATTAACCAAACGTGAAGCTGACCAGGATTGGTTTCAGCAGCAACTGAAGTCAGAGGGGTTTTTATTTCCTGGTCGCCAGATAGCATGGCGACTGTGTCAGCAGCTGTTCTCATTGGCCAGGGGATTGCATTTGGGAAAAGCCAAATTATATTTATTTTAAATTGTCCAACTTGTGGGCTGGGACAGGATTTTTTTTTTTTTTTTTTTTTGAGATGGAGTTTTGCTCTTGTTGCCCGGGCTGGAGTGCAATGGCACTATCTTGGTTCACTGCAACCTCTGCCTCCTGGGTTCAAGCAATTCTCCTGCCTCAGCCTCCTGAGTAGCTGGGATTACAGGTACCCGCCACCACGCCCAGCTAATTTTTTGTATTTTTAGTAGAGATGGGGTTTCACTATGTTGGCCAGGCTGGTCTCGAACTCCTGACCTCAGGCAGTCTACCCGCCTCAGGCGTGAGCCACCGCTCCCGGCCGGGGACAGGAATTTTTTTAGAAGACCATCAAGGTGAGCTCCTGCCTTCAAGGTTTTGGCAATCCAATAGGGGAAGCAGATGGGTGAATTGAGGAGTTAGGAGAATCATCCCAGGGACTACCTGGAATGTTGGAGGATAAATAGTGTAGCATCAGTAGCTCGCATGCTGGAGGATGCCACAATGTTTGTAAAGTATTTTAACAAGCACTCCTTTGAACCTATATTGTAAGGTAAGGAGGGCAGTGTTATCAGCTTCATTTTTCAGCTAGGAGAACTGAGGCTCAGAGTTCGGTGGCTCCATTGATGGCAAGCTGGATTTCCAGGCCAAAATTTAAGACTCCCCATGTCAGGCTGGGCACGGTGGTTCACGCCTGTAATCCCAACACTTTGTGAGGCCGAGGTGGGAGGATCACTTGAGGTCAGGAGTTTGAGACCAGCCTGTTCAACAAAACTCCATCTTTACTAAAAATACAAATTTAGCCGGGTGTGGTGATGCATGCCTGTAATCCCAGCTACTCGGGAGGCTGAGGCAGGAGAATCACTTGAACCCAGGAGGCAGAGGTTGCAGTGAGCCGAGATCATGCCACTGCACTCCAGCCTGGGTGACAGAGTGAGACTCCGTCTGAAAAAAAAAAAAAAAAAAAAAAGATTCCCCATGTCATGTGCTTTTAAAGTTATGCTGTAATGGTTTATTCTTGCACATGCTTTTGGAATCTTAAGGTATTATGCAGAGAGGACAAGTGTTATGCAAGATAGATTGTCCCCTTAGAAGTGCAGAATCTGGAAGTCAGAAGAGTCTTCTAACCTGGTCTCCCACCCATTGCCGGACTGGGGTTTTTTGTTTGCTTTTTAATTAACTAGTGGTTACCCACCCTCTGCTTGAAGACTCCTGGGGACAGCGAGCTCATTACCTTATCTGGCCTGTATCCATCTGAGGGCTTAGTTCAAAGCTCTGGTTTAAAGAATCATGGAGCTCCAGAGTTACTTGTTTGTGCCTCATTCCTTCCATGGTGGACCTGTGCAATGAGTGTGCCCCTCTTCCACACACCAGTCCTGCAGCTTTTGTAGCTGGCTCTTGTCTCCATTCTGTTAGCCATTTCCAGTTTTCCCCTTGACTTGGTTTCCCAATCCTCTAGCTTGCTAATGACCCTTCTCCAAATGGTTTTTCAAAGACCCTTCTTGTGCTACAGTGGAAAGTACAAGATTTTTGGAGTCAGACAACCCCAGGCTAGACTCCTGGCTCCGCCCTTTAAGAGCTGTGCTATATCTAGCAAATAACCTAATCATTACCTTACAAGATGTGGGGGAGGATTAAATATATGTAAAGTGCCTAGCATATTTCTAGCATAGAGTTTATGTCACAAGTGTTAGTGCCCTAGGTTATCAGGGAAGTGGGTGCTCTGGAAAAAATATAATTGGATGCACATTAGATTTCCAGTATACTCTGACTTGAATCCTGTTTTCTGTTACTTATAGCAACATTCTTTTCTGTTTTCAAATTCCTCAACCAAGGTGTGTTGTGGAGGCCTCTTCCTACCCTTTCTTGCACCTGGGTCTACCTGATAAGCCAGGAGAGCAGATCTTAGGGTGGGACAGGGCAGGGGAGCTGCTCAACTTAATTCCCTGTGGGACATCTTTAGCCTTGGCCCAGGAAACCCTGCCTTGCCCTGGGGGTAGGTGAGGGTGCCCTGTGGGCCCTCTGCCCCTGTGGTCCAGCATGGGTGCTTCCTTATTAGAGCATAGTCCACCTTGGGCACCCAGAGTAGAGACGATACATGTTTCTGCTAAGTTAGGCAAGAAAGTGATGAAATACCAGGGTCCTGGCAGGCAGGCTGAAAAACAATGTTTAGGAAAAGTCTGGCTTTTTTGGGGAAAGGGCCAGGGACTCAACTCTTCCCACAGCTGAGTGCCGAGGGCTGCTGTGTCCCCTCCCAGGGGAGCCGGGTGCTGTGTGACAAATGGCTGCCATTTAGCAGCTGTGTCTTGGCCTTGCAAATCTGGCAGTAGTTAGATCCTGGCAGGAAGACATGCTCCCTGGAGAAGAGCTACAAGAAGTGGAGTCAGCTTCTTCATAGTCCTCATGTACTAGCAGGAAAGCTTATCACTGGGACTGTGCCCCATTTCCTTCCTTTAAAGAAGCACAGAGCCTTGCAGAGAGGTGCAGGAAGAAGAATGGGGTACCACAGGATGGTTTTATCTGGCATTGTCCAGAAAATCTCCCTAGCTCTCCCGTGGATCATGTTTTAAATACTCAATCTGACTGACGTAGATAAATTTGGTAGGCAGGGACCCTGTCTCCCCAGTCAATGTGTGCCTCCCTGCTGAAGTTATATTTAATGTAATAATTTAAATGTCCAAGTGATTTTTAAGAGAAGCTGCTTCCTGCATGGAACCTATTACTCTGCATTAAGCTGCTCCTTCCCCCACACTTTACAAAATATTGAAGTTTTCCTTTACCTAAGAACAACCGACATTGCTTTTGAAAAGGAGCATCAGTAGCTTGTGTTATTTCTAATAAAATGCTCCAGGTCAAGACCAGCGGGGTATTTGAAACCTAGTCAGAGTAAGGAGCAGACACCCTGGCCTGTGAGAATGACCTCTGATTTTCCTTCCTCCACCCTCTGGTCCCATTAAGAGATAAACTGTAGTAGATGGTGAGCAGTTTCCAAGGCTGTAAGAGGGAACCCCAGGGCTGCGTGTCTCCCCTTGAGGTCATCTCCCTAACTGTTCTCCCCGTCACCTGCCCCTTGTTGCTCACTCCTCACTGCCCAGGAGCAGCAGAGAGGTGAGGGAGGGTATCCGGGGCCACCAGGAATCCTGGCTGAAGGGCTCAGGTTTGGAGGTGATCCACAACCACCTCCAAGGAGCTTTTCGGGAAGTACCACAGGCTTGGCAACTGCTGTTTGCTGGAGAGAAGGCTTTTAGGATCCAGGGCTGCGTGAAGGCCCAGGCCATGTGGTTTTGCCAGCCATGCACTGCAGGCTGGCCTTGCCTGTCTGAAGCCTACCTCTGATGTGTGTTTGTTCCTGAGGAAGCCCTGCATAGATCCATTCCTCCCTGTCCCTCATTTATTATTATTTTTTATTGTGGTAGATAAAGCCAGAGTTAGAAATGGGGATCTTTGTCTCTGACCCAGGGCCTTGGTTTTTGCTCTGGAGGTGTATGATAAGCCAAGCAGCTTCTCCCAAATCCTCACTAAAGGAAGGTTTTCAGTGAGATCCTGAGCTTCTTCATGAGCTGGTTCTCAGGGCTGGATGGAAGCCTCCAGAGAGCTGTTAACTCAGAAACTCACACTGCTGTGCCAGCCCCCAGAGGGTTTCTGACTCGGTAGGTCTGGGGTGGGACTGAGAATTTGCATTTCTAATAAAGGGCTGGATGCTCATGCCCTTGGGGTTTGTTTGGTGGAGGGTCTGTAGTAGTTAATTTCTCCCTGCCTCGTGTTGGTGGATCTTCTCTGCAAGGTCAGCTCATCAGATAGGACTAGACTGTTCAGGATTCAGGCAGAGCCTCCTTTGCTTGGCTGCTTCTAGAACACAAGGGTATATAACGTGAAGTGCCCCATCACTTTGCAGAGCAAGCGTAGTGTTTCCAAACTCTTGCCCGCTGCAACGAACCTTTTAGACTGAGGTGGAAGTCCAGTTCTGCCTCCTGCCAGGGAGAGGAGGGCAGAGGTGAAGGGGGAGGAGAGCACTCCGCCTTCCTGCCTTGACGGGGACGGAAATGGAAAGCCAGGTGCAGAGCATCTGGAAGGGCAGCAGTGATGCAGAGCGAGATTATTAGAAGTCAGAGAACGTGACTAAGGGAGCACACCTGTGCTCTCCAGCCATGGGCCAGGAGTCGCACACTTTTCCAAAAGAAATTTAACAGAGTTCAGCAACTGGATTTATTACATTGCTCTACCACGCAGCAGCTCTAGGATCTTGGAGACAAGTGACTCAGTCCCTCTCAACCTTTGTCTTTATGGCTGTACACTGGGAACAATCCTCATGGTTGTTGTTTTGAGGATTAAATGAGACAGTGCATGTGGCACATGGTGCTCAAAAATGGTTAGCCATGATGAAGTGTGATGGGTGTGATGGCAACATTAGAGGTGAGTGTGTCCTGGAATTTGGAACCACGAGCCATGGGTCAGTGGGAGTCATGTGGAACATGGCCATGAGGGATGAGGTCAGGAGAGGGGTGCAGGCAGATATTCTGGGGCAAGGAACTGAGCAGAAAGGGTAACCAAGGGGACTGGTGTGCGACGGGGCCAGAAGGTGGACTGAGGCCAGAGCATGGAGACTCTTGAATGGCAGGTTAAAGAGCCTGACCATTAGTCTTTTTTTTTTTTTTTGGAGATAAAGTCTGGCCCTGTTGACCAGGCTTGAGTACAGTGACGTCATGCTAGCTCAGTGCAGCTTCGCACTCCTGGGCTCATGCAATCCTCCTGCCTCAGCCTCCCAAGTAGCTGGGACTGCAGGAGGGTGCTACCATACCTGCCTAATATTTAAATTTCTTATAGAGATGTGGTCTCACTTCGTTGCCCAGGCTGGTCTCAAACTCCTGGTCTTAAGTGATCTTCCCACTTGGCCTCCCAAAGTGGTGGGATTAGAGGCATGAGCCACTGTGCCTGGCTTGCTGTAGTCTTGAGAGGATGAGAGTATAGGAGTGTTCTGGAGCTCAGAAGATACCCAAAGAGGAGGCCGACATATATATCTTGGGTCCCAAGTTTGCTGCCCCCCTTCACCTCTGCACTTTTGTCTTGAATGTGGCCTGTACCAAGGGATGCATCCCCCCACCCCGGCTTCTTTTTTTTCTGTATCAGAGATGGGTTTTGCTGTGTTGCCCAGGCTGGTCTTGAACTCCTAACCTCAAGTGATCCTCCTGCCTCTCCGTCCCAAAGTGGTGGGATTATAGGCATGAGCCACCATGCCCAGCTCTCCCCAATCTCTTAGGAGTCCCTTCTCACCCAGGAAGAGAAGATCAGAGTTGGACGAAGCAGCTCACGGTGCCCCATGGTGTAGGGGCCTGCTCTAAGGCTCCTGTCTTACCAAAGCCTGTGCCAGCCACGGGTTGCCGGTGTGGGGGGGTGGGGGTGACTTTCTTGGGTTGCCGCCCTATCCAAGGCATAGCCTGGACCCTAAGCCAAGAAACACATCAACTTCCTGGAACTCAAAGCCGTCATCACAGCTGTCTCAGCCCTCAGAGCACATGTGAGGTGGTTAGAAGAGATAGTTTTGCCCCGAGCTTTGCAGGCAGAACAGGCATGGCCCTCGTGGAACATTTAGCCTGGTTTGATTCTGTCCCCAGCCTAGCCAAGACTCAGCCCATCCTTCAAGAGATGCCTTTGCTGTTTGTCAAGCTCCCTCCTGGCTCAGACCATTTTAGTGTCTGATCTCTTAACTAAAACTTGTAGCCTGTCGTGGGTTGGCCTGAACTGGTCAACTAGGCTCTTACATAGTATGGATCAGCCATCCCAAGTATTTGAGGGTGTTGTGGAGACTCTGCACTGTGCCCATCCTGGTCAAGTGTTGTAAAACCCACTGTTCTGTCGTCTGTGGGAACATTTTTTTCAGGGCCTCTACCATCATCCTAGGCATCTAAACTTATTCCACATTTCCTGGGGGCCTTAGGACAGAGTTTAGATTTCACTTCAAGAACCCTCAGGAGGCTGGGGCGGTTTGGATCACCTTAGGTCAGGAGTTCGAGACCACCCTGGCAAACATGGCGAAACCCCGTCTCTACTAAAAATACAGAAACTAGCCAGGCGTGGTGGTGCACGGCTGAGGTAGGAGAATCACTTGAACCCAGGAGGCGGAGATTGCAGTGAGCCAAGATCGCGTCACTGCACTCCAGCCTGGGCGACAGAATGAGACTCTGTCTCAAAAACATGAAGAAAAAAAAAAAAAAGAACTCTCAGGTTTTTGCCTATAATCCCAGCACTTTGGGAGGCTGAGGCGGGTAGATCACTTGAGGCCAGGAGTTCAAGACCCACCTGGGCAACATGGCAAAACCCTAAAAACCCAATTTTAGTCTCAACTAAAAATGCAAAAATTAAAGTTAGCCGGGTGTGGTGGCACACACGCCTGTAATCCCAGCTACCCGGGAGGCTTGAGGCACAAGAATCGCCTGAACCAGGGAGGCAGAGGTTACAGGCTTTCAGCCTTGGCGACAGAAAAAAAAAAAGGGAAAGAAAGAAAAAAAAGGAAAGAAACCCTCGGGTTTTTCAGAAGCTGGGATGCAGCCCTTATCTTTCATCTCTTCATTGCTGTCTCCTTAGACCTGGAGACCTGCCCCTTAATCTTCTGTTTCTGGCTTTACATAGCATTGTCCCGTATCTCCCCCGGGGCTTGGGGGCTGGCCTTTCCCTCCTCCCACAGAGGGACTTCCGCCCTCTCTTAGTCCTCCTGCCTCCGTTGACTTTGCGTAAATCTTGTGGGAGTGCAAATCCAGAAATTCAGCAGCCTCCACCAACAACCAGACCCAGGCTTTCTGTCACACTTCACCTACAGGAGTCATCTTTAGGGTGCTACTAGTCTTTCCTTTTTTTTTTTTTTTTTCTGAAGCATTGTTGATGGAGGTAAGGGGTGTCTTAGAGTTTCTTCTAATAACTCTTTTGTACTTTTCCGCTCTTCAAGCTCTGTGACTCCCTCAGGCCTAATAGAACCCAAAACAAACAGCCTCGTGAACTCTGGCTTTATATTGCAAGACATTCTCAATATTCAAATCATTTACACCCAAGGGCAAGAGGATGGAAGTTTCAAGGTCAAGTCTCTCAGCCTAGCCCTCTTTCTCTAAAACCATCCTCTCCTTGCTGTCCTGTGTGCTTCCAGGACGCTACCCGGTGGACCTTTTTTTAAGGTGTCTTTTTAAAATGAAGGGAAATAAAATAAAATGAAATGAAGGGGAGGCAGCAGATCTAAATTTTAATGGAAGTCTTAGCTACATGCTAGAAAATCTTAATTCTAGACACTTGTTTAGACTCTGAAGTGTGTTTATTTATTGTATTTATTTATTTTTTTGAGACAGACTCTCTGTCGTCCAGGCTGGAGTGCAGAGGCACAATCTCAGCTCACTGCAACCTCCGCCTTCCGGGTTCAAGTGATTCTCCTGCCTCAGTCTCCCAGGTAGCTGGGATTACAGGTGTGCACCATGATGTTCAGCTAATTTTTGTATTTTTAGTAGAGATGGGGTTTTGCCATGTTGGCCAGGCTGGTCACAAACTCCTGACCTCAGGTGATCCACCTGCCTCAGTGTCCCTAAGTGCTGGGATTATAGATGTGAGCCACCGCGCCTGGCCTATTTATTTATTTATTTATTTTAATTTTTGTTATATCTTTTTATTTTGAAGTGTGTTTTTATTAATTATGAGTAAAACTATGGTTCATGCTATTTATTTGGAGATCTTGGCAGTTTCTAGAAAAAAACCAAAGGGCTATTCCTCTTCAGGCTTTGTTCCTAATGAAATTTGTTATTAATTAAAATATGAAAAAAGAATAACTGCTTTTTTTTAAGCAATATTTAATTTCACCTTAGATGGGTGAAGATAGTCTGAAAGGATGTTTGTGCATTTCTGAAAACTCCACGGGTATTTTTCATAAAATGGGCTTGATTCATAGTTTACAAGAGGGCAGGTCATGTGTCACGCAAAACAGGGATTCTTACCCTGCTGTCCCTGGGTGGGTTTCTAGGGTCCCTGACCCTCCTGGTACTGAATGAAAATGTTGAGTATAGAGTATGTGCATTGTTTCAGTGGGGTGGGATGGGGGGGGTATAATGTCCAGTTTGAGGGTCTCTGCATTCCCTTCTGTGGCACAGGGTCCGTCCCTGTGGGTTAGTCCTGAGGTTCATGGTGACAGCTGTGTGGCATGGATGGGCAGCTTGTCTGTAGATGCTCCAGAAGGGGAATAAAAGTGAGAAAATATGCCAAGCAGTTGTTTCTCGCCCGGTGTTGTCCGTGTGGGGTTTATTTTACCTCTGAGTTTTCTCCCAGTTTTGTGCTCTTCACGTTAGCTGAGGGAGGCTGTGTTGAGAGCCAGGGAATGTGGCCACATGCTGTAGCTCTGGGAGATGCTGCATTCCAGTTTTCTCCCAGCACAGGGCTTTGAAGCCCTTGACACCCCAGAGCAGACTTGCTCAAACTTTTGAAGGGCATGTGTAATTTGAGATGTTTTCTGCATCTTCCCTACAGAAAGGAAAAGGTCTGCATTTGGTCCTATTTGACGTGTGTTACCAACACTTTCTCCTCACACCTGCGAGAGGATGTAATCATCTCTCCTCTACTTTAAGGCACTGTTTAGTTGTATATTTCTTATTATTTATTTTTTGAGACAAGGTCTGGCTCTGTTACCCAGGCTGGAGTGCAGTGGTGCAATCTCAGCTTACTGAAACCTCTGCCTCCTGGGCTTAAGCCATCCTCCCACCTCAGCTCCAGAGTAGCTGGGACTACAGGCGCATGCCACCACACCCAGCTGATTTTTGTGTTTTTTATAGAGACAGGGTTTCACCATGTTGTCCAGGCTGGTCTCGAACTCCTGAGCTAAACGATCTGCTCAGTCTTGGCCTCCCAAAGTGCGGGGATTACAGGCATGAGCCACTGCTAGTTGTATATTTCTTAATTTCTTCAACTGTCTTATTTTTCCCCCTCTGTTTCTGATAGCACTAATTGCTGCCTTGCTTTTCTCTTGTTAAACTGGCAGTCTGTAGGTGTCTGCTGTGAACATGCCATTAGGATGCACGAAGCTCCCCCCCGGAGCCAGTGGTCCGAGCCATTCTCACATGGTGCTGCCCTTGACGTTATTGGAATGTGCCTGGGGGATAGGGGTGTTCCTGTCTGTTCAAGGCACACTCAGTTCCAAGCTCTTACTTGGATGTTAATGGGACAACTCTGGATGGAATCAGCCTGGCTCCTGGCAGCTTGCTTGTAATTGCAGGCAAGGGATGGGAAATGTTTTCTAGTCCTAATTGGTGACTCCCGGTGATGTTGAGCAGAGGACCATTTCTGGTCTTAATCCTCTTTTAACATCACCTTTTCTTATTTTTGTAGGTTGCTCCGACTGTGTGTTCCAGGAGTGGTGGCTCTGAGGTGTGACCCTGCCCACGTT
Source organism: Homo sapiens (assembly GCF_000001405.40). NCBI lineage: Eukaryota > Metazoa > Chordata > Mammalia > Primates > Hominidae > Homo > Homo sapiens. The sequence goes on from NC_000006.12 coordinate 7,176,713, forward strand.
TGGGCCCAGCCAGGTTCAGCCCCCCAATAAGGAGGGCAGCTTGATAACACAAAGAAAACAGGTTAGTGAAACAGTTTTCACTCGCAGTGAGTCACAATAATGTTGAACGTCGAGTCTTCCCATGCCCTCCTCTCCTACCCTCCCCTACCTCCCGTTTAATTGTCATGCCATTTCCAGGTCCTCCTGAGGCTTTGTTGCAAAATCGTGTTGAAATTGTAACTAGGCCAGACATGGTGGCTCACACCTATAATTCCAGCACTTTAGGAGGCTGAGGCGGACAGATCACTTGAGGCCAGGCATTCAAGACCAGCCTGGCCAACATGGTGAAACCCTATCTCTACTAAAAATAAAAAAAAATTAGCCAGGCGTGGTGGTGCGTGCCTGTAATCCCAGCTACTCAGGAGGCTGAGGCACGAGAATCGCTTGAACCTGGGAGGCAGAGGTTGCAGTGAGCTGAGATAGTGCCACTGCACTACAGTGTGGGCAATAGAGTGAGACTGTCTCACAAAAAAAAAAAAAAAAAAAAAAAAGGAGGAAAGAAATTGTAACTATAACTTGTTAGTTCTTGATCTGATGGGCCTGAAATGTGGGATGAGAAAGGGTGCCAAGGGTTCGTCTCAGGAAGCAACACTTTGGACATCTCTCTCTTTTTTTTTTTCCCTTTTCTCTCCCTCCCTCCCCTCCAAATCCAGACCATGTGTGTTAAAAACTGGAACACCAGGTTCATCTGCTTGGTAATGTTGATCATATCTATGACTTGGGAACTTCATCTGGTTTCCCAGTGCTGATTCCAGTTGGAAGAGATTATATTAGAATATGACCAGTGATATTTATTTTTAAGAGACAGGGTCTCACTCTGTCGCCCAGGCTGGAATGCAATGGTGTGATCATAGCTCACTGCAGCTTTGAACTCCTGGGCTCCTGTGATCCTCCCACTCAGCCTCCCAAGTATCTGGGACTACAGACACATGCTACCATACCTGGCTTCTTTTTTCTTTTCTTTTCTTTTTCTGTCTTTCTTGTCTTTCTTGATGGAGTCTTGCTCTGTCACCCAGGCTGGAGTGTAATGGGGCTATCTCAGCTCACTGCAACCTCTGCCTCCTGGGTTCAAGCGATTCTCCTATTTCAGCCTCCTGAGTAGCTGGGATTACAGGCATGTGCCACCACGCCCAGCTAATTTTTGTAGTTTTAGGGGAGACGGGGTTTTGCCATGTTAGCCAGGCTGGTCTCAAACTCCTGACCTTAGGTGATCTGCCTACCCTGGCCTCCCAAAGTGCTGGGATTACAGGTGTAAGCCACTGTGCCCGGCCCCGGCTGATTTTTATTTTGTATAGGTGGGGTCTTGCTGTGTTTCCTAGGCTTGTCTCAAATTCCTGGCCTCAAGCCATCCTCCCACCTCAGGCTTCCAAAGTGCTGGGATTACAGGTGTGAGCCACCACACCTGGCCTTATTTTATAATAATAACATATATTATTACTAATATTGGAGTGATGTCAGGGAGAAGAAATGTTGCAGAAGAAAGAATGAAAAGTCTAGGATTGTAAATATCCAGAAAGAAAAAAATGCTTTGTGAATAGACCATAAAAATGTTAGTAATGGTCTTTTATTCCCCGAGATTGAGTATCAGAGGGTTTAGGTTGGTTAGTTTGGGCTGTTGTTCCAAAATTGTCCAGGATGTGGTTATAGGGTAGATAGGACCAACTAATACTGGCCAGCTTGCTCTGGTTCGATGATCTTGTAGAAGAGCCCGCATGTTATGGTGGGTTTTTTCTAACGTAGAACAATGAGCTCCATTGTGCCTTGCACCAGCTTCTTCCCCTTCTTCCCTGCTCTGTGGTCCTGAAGGAAGAACTCAAATAGAAGACATAAGAACAAACTGAAGTACAATCTTGTCACAGCCCAAGGGGCTGGTTGTTGGTTCCTTCTGGAACAGATTCTCAGGGATGAGGCCAGTGACTCTTTTCTTTTTTTCAAACAGTGTAGCTATGAGTTTCATTTTATTAATTACGCTTTCAGATTAGAGATGAGTCTCTATTTTTTTTTAATTGTTATTTACTTAAAATAGGAAAAGGAAGTAAATGTAAGTGATCTTGGTGTCATCAGTGGGTAGTGTCACACTTTATACTTTATCCCCAAGGAAGAAACATGTTTAGCAAATATCTTCCTGTCCAGACAAAATGGCAAACAACAAGGCTTTTCTCCTTTTCAAGTGGGATAAGCTTTTGCAATTTTCAGCCCTTACATTGGTTAACTATACTGACTGTTGCTAGGCTTTCTGTGTTTAAGACACTTAGGTAGTTTGCAAGAATGTATCTTTGATAACATGACTGAAAAGAATTTTTACTGGCAATTTGGCTCTGTTTAGTGAATATATTTTTTTCACTTTGCTTATTATTTCCCTCCTCTCCACTTCCTTCCCTTATTCAATGATAGAATTAGAATTTTTTTTATAACTTAAAATTTTACATTTAGTCTTAAAGGTGTTTAACCTGTTCCCAGACTTGAGCAAACTCTAACTCTACCACATTTTTCTTTCCTTTTTCTACACACATACACACACATTTTGTTGTTTGTTTGTTTTTGCTTTTAAAATTTGAGATGGGGTCTTGCTGTTTTGCCTAGGTTGGACTTGAACTCCTGGGCTCAAGCAATCCTACCGCCTCGGCCTCTGAAGTAGCTGGGAGTAGCCCTCTTTTCTAAATGTAGTAATAGGACAAAAGCAAGATCATCTTCAAAACTCATAGTATAAATTGGTGGAAAGTTTGTAACAATTACAGGAAAGAGAGATTTCTAGTCAGTTATGTTGTAATTCTCTGTACATTAAAATTGTGAGGGAGATATACGTATTTAAAAGAAGGAGGTGAGTTCAGTATTGAAGGTATCCATTTATGAATCAAGTATGTAATTATGTGATTGATTACAAAAATTCTAGGGACTGATGACTCTCTTTTTAGTAGTCCATTAAGAAAAAATTGTGTGTACACACTCATGTATGCACTTTGTGTCTACATGTTTTTTCCCTATAGAGAAATCACCCAAAATAAACCTTCAAAGACAGTTAAAAACAGAAAGTTTGAAACACAGTTTTTTTTTTTTCTTTTAATTTTAAAAAATCTTTTGTAGAGATAGGGTCTTGCTGTGTTGCCTAGGCTGGTCTCGAACTCCTGGGTTCGAGTTGACCCTCCCACCTTGGCCTCCCAAAGTGCTGACATTAAGGTTGTGAGCAACTGTGCCCGGTGTGAAGCACAATTCTTCATAAATTTAAAGGGTCTGCTAGCATGGGGAAATGTCATGGAAAGATGAAAGTATAGATGTTTTTTTGGGGGGTGGGGGCTGTAGCTTTCTTCTCTTTATGGAGAAAGATGTGGACAAAGAGGCTGGATCCATAGTCTCAAATTGTATGTTTCTGCGGTTAGTCCTTTTACCTACCAGTTGGAAAACCATTTGATTCACATCTTCAAAATGTCTATTGACAAGGAAGGTACATTTTATCTCTTTACAAGACAAGTGCTTTCCCTAAGATTCCCTTTTGCCCTTTTGGTAAGAATTTAGGCTGGTACTGCAGGTTTGTAGCTGCTCTGGGTGGTACCATTTCTCATATGCTAGGTCATATCCCCTAAAGTTGGAGGAGGAAGCCATGAGAAATCATATTCTTCCTTGTGTTGTTCCTACACGTTCTCTTTACAGCTGAGATGATGAGCTTGATCTTCAGCTGCTGTTGTGGACTCGTAGAATTTATTAGCACACATTGTGGGATAATAGGATCTTAATATCCAATTACCTTATGGTAGGGCTTCAGCTGTAGAATATCCTCCTAGTTAAAATGAGGGAAGCAGTAGACTTCATACCTACTGACTGGACCTGTAGCCATAATAGTCTAGTTGCAAGGAACGCACATGGCCTGAAAAAGTAAATTGTGACATGGCCATGGGCCATAGTTTTCCCTTTGGTCATTCTTTTCATGTCGCCAGGTTTCTTTTAGGTCTGTCCTGAGAGTGTCTAAACTCAGCCTTTAGTGAATGCCTGAACTGTTTTGTCTTTGGTCACTTTTAGATAAAGGCGTGAGACGGGTCAAGTGGAGCCTGAGCATCCTTGCAAGGGACTGAGGCACAGTGTGAAAGAGAATTTGATGCATGGGTATAAATATGAGCTTTAGAAAGTAAAATTTTACTGCAGAGTCCTTTTGGCTGTTGGGAGTGTGCGTAACAGGCAGTACTGTAGGGGTTAAGATAAGGTTGAGAAACAGCTGTAGAATGTGGTTTTGGAAGAAAGAAAGGCAGACATTGCCTCTCATTTGTGCTCCTTGCATTGTTGTGAATATAGTGGTCTAAGATTATAGCCAATAAATGATTTCAGTTTTTTCTTCACTAAGTGAAAAGATGTTCACTTTGGGCCTTTGCTTCCCTTCCAGTGTCAACGAGTACTACCAAGAGAAGAAGACAAGAGGTCAACACAGACTCATTTTCTACTCCGTGTGAATGATAGCTACAGCAGGGGAAA